>NC_000011.10:37635757-37787272 GCF_000001405.40 Homo sapiens
CTGTACCTCTATAAGATCAGCTCTTTTAAGTTCCACAAGTAAGTGAGATCATATGGTATTTGTATTTCTGTATTTGGCTTAACTTCATATAATGTCTTCCAGGTTTATATATGTTGGCACAAATGAAAGGATTTCATTTTTAATGGCTGAATAATATTCCATTGCGTATATATCACATATTATTTATCCATTCATCCATTGTTGATAGACACTTTGGTTGATTCCAGATTGTAGTTATTGTGAATAGTGCTGCAATAATCTTGCGAGTACAGGTTTCTCTGAATAGTGCTGCAATAATCTTGCGAGTACAGGTTTCTCTTAAACACAGTGATTTTATTTCTTTTGGATATATATTTCACCCAGGAGTGAAATTAGTGGACTATATAGTAGTTCTATTTTTACCTGAGAAAGCTCCATTCTGTTTTTTATAATGGCTATACTAATTCAAATTCTCACCAGCAATATATAAGTGTTCTCATTTCTTCACATCCACAACTAGCATTTGTTATTTCTTGTCTTTTTGATAATGGCCATTCTAATTAGGGTGAGGTGATAACTGATTGTGGTTTTGATTTGCATTTCCCTGATGATTAGGACTGTTGAGCATATTTTAATATACCTGCTTGTCATTTGTATATTTTCTTTTGAGGAATGTCTATTCAGTTGTTTTGATCATTTTAAAAATCAGATTGTTTGTTTTGTTGCTATTAAGTTGATTTTTTAATATATTCTGGATATTAACTCCATGTCGAATGCATAGTTTGCAAATATTTTCTCCCATTCTGCAGGTTGTCCCTTCACTCTGTTGATTGTTTGTGTTATTTTTGTTGTTTTGCAGAAAATTTTTAGTTTGATGTGGTCTCATTTGTCTATTTTTGCTTTTGTTGTTTGTGCTTTCGACTTTTAATCCAAAACAGTTCTTGCCCAGACCAAGGTTATGAAGCATTTCTCCTTATGTTTTCCTCGAGTAGCTTTATAGTTTTGCATCTTACATTTAATTCTTTAATTTATCTTGAGTTTATTTTTGTATATGGTGAGAGATAGGGGCCTAGTTTCATTCTTCTGCGTGTAGATATCTAGTTTTCCCAGATCATTTATGGTGTTTTAAATTTTGATGTAGGTTACAGTAGGTGTCTAATATCTTGTTACTTTGGTTGTGGAAATTGAATTCTTTTAAAAGAAACTTTATTATTAGAGCAGTATTAGTTTCACGCAAAACTGAGCTGAAGATACAGAGATTTCCCCAGGTCCCCTGCATTCTCACATGGGTGTACACTTCCCATTGTCAACATCTCTCCACAAGGTGGTATATTTGTTACAATTGATCACCTTACCTTGACACATCATAATCACCTAAAGTCCATATTTTATATTAGAGTTCAGTCTTGATGTTGCATATTTCATGGATTTGGACAAATGTATATTGACATGTTCTCCATTATAGTATCATAAAGAGTAGTAGCTTTACTGCCTTAAAAATCCTCTATTCTCCACCTAGTCATACCTACCTTGTGCCTAACGTCTGGCAACCACTGATTATTTTTTAAACTCTCTTCATAGTTTTGCCCTTTACAGAATGTCTAATGGAATAATATAGTATATAGCCTTTTTAGATTGACTTCTTTCATTTAGTAATATGCATTTACATTTCCTCCGTGTTTGTTCATGGCTTGATTCATCATCTTTTTTAGCCCTGTTCTATATTCCATTGTCTGAATATACCACAGTTAGTTTATCCATTCACCTATTGAAGGACATTTAAGTTGCTTCTGAGTTTTGGCAATTGTAAGTAAGTAGATATAAACATTCGTGTGCAGGGTTTTGTATGGACATAAGTTCCACTTTTATAAGATTGTTTTCTTATTGTTGAGTTTAAATCTTTATTTTATATTTTGTATGAGTCCTTTATCAGATATGTCTTTTGTTAAAATTTTTTCCCAGTTGGTGGCTTGTCTTGTTGTCTTGACATTGTTTTTCAAAGAACACAGTTTTTAATTTTAATGAATTTTAGAGTATCAATTCTCTTTAAAATGGATTGTGCCTTTGTTATCACCTCTGAAAATGCATCACCATACCCAATAATATTTACATTTTCTCATAAGTAGTCTTCTAGGCATTCTGTAGTTTTGTGGTCACATTTGGCTTCTGATTCATTGGGAGTTAATATTTATGAAGGGTATAAAGTGTGTGTCTAGATTTTTTAAATTGTAAGTTTGTCGCATATGGTTTTACAGTTGTTTTAATACCATTTGTTGAAAAAAAAAATCTTTTCCCTGTTGTATTATCTTTGCTCCTTTGATGAAGATCAGTTGACTATATTCATAATGATCAATTTCTGGGCTCTCTATTTTGTTCCATTTATCTGTTTTTCTATTCCACATTGTCTTCATTATTGTAGCTTTATATAGCAAGTCAATTCTTTTTATTTTATTTTCATTTCCTCTTGTAGGATCTAAAACTAGAAGATAATGTCACGGATTTGAGACTTTGTTTTTTCCTACTATGGACATTTATTGCTATGATTTTTCCTTTAAATAATCACCTTGCTTTATTTAACTCATTTTCATTTTTATTTCCACTAAGCTCAAAATGCTTTCTCATATTCCTTTAAGTTGATGCATTGACATATCAGTTGTTTAGAAATGCTAACTAAATTGTAGTTCTGATTTTCATTTTCCTAATGATTAATTATGTTGATCCTCTTTTATGTGCTTATTAGCTATTCGTATATCTTTGGAGAAATGTCTATTCAACTCCTTTGTCCATCTTTGATTTTTTAAGATTTTTTCAATGAAAAAAATTACTTTTTTCTAATTTTTATTGATTGATTTATGATTACCAAATTATCTTAGCCTTAATAATATTGTTTATCCTGAAATCCACTTTGTCTCATATTACTATTGCCACTCAGCCTCTCAGCTGGTTTTGATTAGTTGTAGCAGCATTTGTATTTTTTGCATCTTTTAAAACCGATTTTCATCTTAAAATTCAAAGTTAATTTCTTGAAGGTAACACAATGTTAGGTCTTTTTCATCTAATCTGTAGATCTCTGTCTTTTAATGGGATATTTTGAGCATTTATATTTAATATTATTAATATTGATAGACTAAATGCTTTATTCTTTTTTTGTTTTGTTTTCTTCTTCCCCATTACTTTTTGTTCCCTTTGCCCACAGTTATTGCTTTCTTTAGGTTAGGTTTTTTTTTTTTTTTATCATTTCATTTTATCTCTTTTGTTGGCATTAGTTGAAACTGTTTTTCTTTCTGTGTGTTGTGGATTGCTTTAGTGTTTACAGTTATGCATTAACATCAAAATTTATGAGCCATAAATATTATAATTTTATATTTCCCCTCTTGTCCTTTGTACTATGATTGCATTTAAATTTTACATATGATATAAATTCTATGGCATACTGGTACAATTTTTAATTAGTCAGTTTTCTTAGATTTGATTTTTGCTCAGACATTTACCTAAAAAATTAACCGTTTATGATGATCTTCATTTCTTGGTGTAGATCCAGGTTTCTGATATTTTTCTTATAACTGAAAGATTTCTGCCAGCATTTCTTGTTGTCTGAGAGTTGATGACACATTTTCTAACCTTTACTTGCCTGAATAGGTTTCTTTGTGCCTTATTTCCCTCCCCAACACATAATTTTTCTTGTGATAAAATACTTACATAATTTAATGTCTTCATTTTTTAAGTGTGCAGTTTAGTGGCATTGAGTGCCTTCATACTGTTATGCAGTCAAGACCATTCTTCGTCTCCAGAATATTTTTTATCTTAGAAAATGGAAGCCCCATATCCATTAAATAATAACTTTTCATTACTTGCTCTCCCAGTATGTTGGCAACCACCATTCTATTTTCTTTCTTTATAATTTTGACTACTCTCATTACCTCATGTAAGGATAATCATGCAGTATTTGTCTTTTTGCAGTTATCTTATTTTGCTTAGTATAATATCTTCAACATTTGTCTATGTAGTGGCATATGGCAGAATGTCCTTCAGGTTTAAGGCCAAATAATATTTGATTTTATGTACAGACTTTATTTTGCTAATTCATTCTTCTATCAATGAACATTTAGGTTACTTAGACATTTCAGTTATTGTGAGTAATGCTGTTCTAAACACAGGTATACTAATATCTATTTTAGATCCTCATTTTAATTCTTTTGGGTAAATAACCAGAAATAGAATTGCTGGATCACATGGTAGTTTTATTTTTATTTTTTTGGTCAGTGTGGCAATTCCTCAGGGATCTAGAACTAGAAATACCATTTGACCCAGCAATCCCATTACTGGGTATATACCCAAAGGATTATAAATCATGCTGCTATGAAGACACATGCACACGTATGTTTATTGCAGCACTATTCACAATAGCAAAGACTTGGAACCAACCCAAATGTCCAACAATGATAGACTGGATTAAGAAAATGTGGCACATATACACCATGGAATACTATGCAGCCATAAAAAAGGATGAGTTCATGTCCTTTGTAGGGACATGGATGAAGCTGGAAATCATCATTCTCAGCAAACTATCGCAAGGACAAAAAACCAAACACGGCATATTCTCACTCATAGGTGGGAATTGAACAATGAGAACACATGGACACAGGAAGGGGAACATCACACACTGGGGCCTGTTGTGGGGTGGGGGGAGGGGGGAGGCATAGCATTAGGAGATATACCTAATGTTAAATGAAGAGTTAATGGGTGCAGTACACCAACATGGCACATGTATACATATGTAACAAACCTGCACATTGTGCACATGCACCCTAAAACTTAAAGTATAATTAAAAAAAAAAGAAAAATTCCTGTACTATTTTCCACATGTGAGTTAACCATTTTACTTCCCACCCACAGTGCATAAGGGTTCCAACTTCTCCCATATTCTGGCCAATACTTATTTCTTATGGTTTGTATGTTTTTGCCTGTTTTATAGCAGGCAAGCTAGTGGTAGTAAGGTGGTATCCCATTGTTGTTCTGATTTTCATTTTCCTAATGATTAATGATGTTGATCCTCTTTTATGTGCTTATTAGCTATTCGTATATCTTCTTTGGAGAAATGTCTATTCAATTAGTTTGTCTATCTTTGACTTTTTAAATTGTTGATTATTAGGAGTTATCTTTGTGTTCTGGATATTAATTATTTATCAGATATATGATTTGAAAACATTTTTCCCATTTTGTAGGTTGCATTTCACTCTGTTGATAGTGTTTTTTGATCCACAAAATTTTATGTTTTTATAAAGTCTAATTTGTCTATTTTTTTCTTTTTTTTTGCCCCTTCTTTCTTGGATAATATATTGACTGGATAAATAATTCTACGTTTAAATATTGTTTTCATTAAGTACTCTAAGGAGGTTGCTTCTATCTTCTCACTTGTATTTTTTCCAATGAGAAATTTTTGCTGACGTCTTTACCTTTGTGATTCTGTCTGCAATGTTACTTGGTTTTGTCTTTTTTATTGGTTTACAGCAATCTTTGTCTGTGTGTGTGTGTGTGTGACAAGGTTTCTTTCTGTCACCCAGGCTGGAGTGCTGTGGCACAATCACAGCTCACTGCAACCTCCACTTCCCAAGCTCAAGCTATCCTCCCAACTCAGCCTCCCAAGTAGCTGGGACCACACCCAGCTTCTCGAAATCTTGAGCTAAGGAGATCCACTGTCCTCAGCCTTCCAAAATGCTGGGATTACAGGTGTGAGACACTGCACCCGGCTGCAATTTGATTTTTATATGCTTTGTATTTCATGTTTTTATTATTGAGTTTTGTTGAGATTCTTGGAACACTTTTGGTCATTATTACAAGAATATTTTTGTTATCCCCAGCCCACTTTAGGGACCTCATATATTTAGATTCATGCCTGCATGAATTGTCTCCTGGTTTTTTGACAATCTATCCACGTTTTTCATTCTTTTTTTTCCCTCACTACGCTTCATGTTGAATTGTTTCAATTGTTACATTTTCAAGTTCAAAAATCTTTTTATAAAATATTTTTTTCTACCTTAAGCAAGACAGTAATATCATTGAATAAACATAGTGTCATATCTCATCATATATCTTATAATTGTTTAAAAGTTTCTCCATTTAGTTCCTTCATATATTTCGCATCTCCATACATTTACTTTTCCATATATTTTCCAAATAGACAGACATTCATGGTTCTGGATTTTCTCTCATGCTGATTGTTTCCTCATTTTCTACCTGTTGAAATTTAAATTGTGTTATAAAATCTTTATTGATCAAGCCTTATCATCTCTCTGTTAGAAACTATTTTTTCTCATTATTTTTCTAGAGCAATTCTTTGTAAAAAAATAATTGTTTTCTTCAATATTCAATTTATTTGTATTCTGTCTTTTATTTACTTAAATATTTACTCTTTCTTTTTTTCTCCTGTCTTACATTACTGGTGTCTTGAGGTCAAAGACTATACTCTCTTCTTCTTAATATGTTTATCACCCTGTAATTTTACTCATCCCAGTGCTCACTTTATTAACACAAATAAAACATCTTTGTTTCAGCAATATTTCACTCTGCTTTTATCTTTATCCCATAATCAAGACATCTAAACAGGTTTTTCACAGAACTTAATCATTCAGACGCTATGAATCACTTGGAGGTTTTACAAAAATAATTAAACTAAGAAGTTTATTATGGTTTGAGACCTTTCATCATGTTAATTGCACCTTTCTATGGGTCCAAAGGTAAACACAAAGCCAGTTCACAGTAGTTAATGAATTTTTATTATCCTCCTGAAGGCCTGATCCTCAGACAGAGAGAGCAAGATGATATCTCAGGCTCTCCTAGAGGACTATACTTTGACCCGGGTGTATATATAGATCACAGAAATCTCTTCTCTCCAGTGTATATCAGGAGTGAGAGTTTTGATATCTAGCTTTCCAGAGTCATATATTCTTTATGACATCCAGGTCAAATGGCCTCTCTGGAGGTATTTTTACCATTGTACATTTTTGGAGCCAACATATAGTTATTAAAACTTTCAAGTTATCAGACTTATTAAGACAAGAGGGGAATTTGAGTTCCTCTCAAGACCACAGGATACTATATGGAAGGAAGTTATGAAAGAAGAGCTGAGTTGTCTTAAAGCAATTAACCAGACTTATTGTATTAATTTAAAAAAAAAAGACTAGATGTTTGGACAATCAACCCATTCATTCTGATTCATTCTTAGTATGATTGGAGCAAGGAGAGCAAGATTCTAATTTTTTTCTGCTTTTCTGAATATTGCATTTCATTCTGCTTAACATTTCATATTCATAATCCAAATAAATAGTTAATAAGCCTTATCAGTTCCCTTTTATATTATAGATCTCATTCACTTACCCCGTCAAAAGTCAAGAGCCTATTTGATAAGCTATGCAGTTTGAATAATGAAAGTAGCTGATGAGTCTGCTAATCATCATTCCTCAAATGTTTATGTGCGTATGGATTTCTTAGAAGTCTGGTTAAAATGTAAAGTCAGTTTAGTATATCTGGGATGTGGCCTGAGGTTCTGCATTTCTAACAAGCTTCCAAGTGATGCTGATGAAGCTGACC
Organism: Homo sapiens; assembly: GCF_000001405.40. Lineage (NCBI taxonomy): Eukaryota > Metazoa > Chordata > Mammalia > Primates > Hominidae > Homo > Homo sapiens. The sequence goes on from NC_000011.10 coordinate 37,643,327, forward strand.
TATGCACCACACTATAAGTAAAGTTTTTAATATGATGAGTTCCTGATTTGAAGCTTTCTTATGCTTTGAGGCTGGATTCTATCCTCTTAGGAAGAAAAGTCCAATGTTTTGGGTTAAAACAGAAAAAGAATGCCTCAGCATCATAATTCACGTTTTACATCCCTCATTGCCTTGTCTGCTTGGAATTCTGATCTGAGTCATTGACTCGGACATCTTTCTGTGTTTTGTACTCGTTACTTTGCCTGGTCCTTCCTCTGACTGCCTTTGCCTTGTAGCACTGTTTCTTGAAAGTCACCCAATGATCACCAGGATCAAAAGCTGCTGGGACGGTTGTTAGAATAAGTATTTCATTGGCCCTCTTAGAGCATAGTGATACTCTGAAACCTGAAATGAGTGCTTTAAATAGCATAATAAAATTGAAAATCACTGAAATGTTACTTTCTTTGCAAGTCACTTCTAAGTTAGTATGACTGTTTATTGTTTATCTAAATTTAATTCAATGTCTTATTCTTATCTGTAAATAATCCCACCCCAGCATGCTTACATGACCCTCTGTGTCAGACTGGCTTGAATTCTATTCTGATGTGCTTTCCAGAGATAGTCTTTTCTACTGCCCAACCTTCATTTGCTTCGCTGTCTGCCTGTTTCTGTCTTTCTCAGATTGATCTTTCATATTCCATGTTACACTCTTGCTCACCAAAGTGCTAAAAACAAACCAGAAAGGAGTTACAGTGGTCCCCGCTGCTCCACAAGTTTCACAACCTGCAATGTATGCCTGAAACCACAGATAGCACCAAACCCAATTGTCATCAATCAGAACATGTTTCTGTTTATGTCTTCCACACACAAATGTAATGTTATCATGCACTGTGGTTGTAATTTTGTACACTGAGGTGTGACAGCAAAACTAGCACACATTTCTATTTCCTTTTTCACAATTTCATAGATAGAAGATTCATTCTACACTGTAGATCTTAGCGACCTCAGCATATGATTTTTTTTTTCTTTCTTTATTCAGTTGAGAACTTGCACCATTTCACTTAAGAGAAGAATTTTACTGCTACTCTTTGGCATATATGAATTGCCACATCACTACTCTTGTGCTTTGGGACCAATATTAAGTAAAATAAGGGATACTAGGACACAAGAACTGTGATAGCTTGGCCATGAATTGGATAACTGTGACTGCTACTAAGTGACTCATGGGTGGGTAGCGTAGACTGCATGGATCTGCTGGACAAAGGGATAATTTGTTTCCTGGGGGAGGATGGAGCAGAATGGTGTGAGATTTCATGATGCTGCTCAGAGCAGCTGGTGCACAATTTAAAACTTATGAATTGATTATTTTTAAAATTCTCTATTTAGCATTTTCAGACCTTGGTAGATAGCTGTAACTGAAACCACAGGAAGTGAAATCTCAGATAAGAGGGTGCCTCTGTCATTTTTACTGTAGTTGTGATTGTAGGATGCCAAATAAAATCAATTAAATTTATATTTATGTTTAGATGACCATGGACCAGGTTGCTTTGAGAGAGTAAAACATAATCAGGACATAGTGACAACTCTTAAAAAGTGTGTAATTTATCGAGTGTAAAGGGAACTGAGAGTTAGAAACATCTTGTAAGACAGTGAAAACATAAGCTCCTACCCACATTTCATAAACATATGTTTATTTCTGCCCAATATCTTTTGAGAGAATCATGTGTATTAATTTTTATTGCTGCTGTAACCAATTACAACAAATTTAATGGCTTAAAATGTTATACTTCTCTTTGGGAGGCCGAGGCGGGTGGATCATGAGGTCAGGAGATCGAGACCATCCTGGCTAACAAGGTGAAACCCCGTCTCTACTAAAAATACAAAAAATTAGCCGGGCGCGGTGGCGGGCGCCTGTAGTCCCAGCTACTCGGGAGGCTGAGGCAGGAGAATGGCGTGAACCCGGGAAGCGGAGCTTGCAGTGAGCCGAGATTGCGCCACTGCAGTCCGCAGTCCGGCCTGGGCGACAGAGCGAGACTCCGTCTCAAAAAAAAAAAAAAAAAAAAAAAAAAAAAAAAAAAAAAAAAAAAGTTATACTTCTGTAGGACAGAAGTTCAGAATAAATCTCAGTGTTCTAAAATTAAGGTCTTTCTTGATCTTGGCTCCCTCTGAAGGTTCTTGGGGTATATCCATTTCTTATCTTTTTCAGTTCCTAGAAGCCACCTACACTATGTTCCTCAGCTTCCAGCCCCTTCCAGCAATGGCTTCATTCTGATTACTGTTTCCATTATTACATTTTCTTCTCTGAATCTGAACCTCCTACTTCATTTTTATAAGAATTCTTTGGTTAGGTTGAGCTTTCCTGCATAAGCTAGCATAACCTCAGATCTCAGGATTCTCAACTGAATTGGATCTGCCAAGTTCCTTTTCCCATTCAAAGTAACGTATTCACAGGTTCTGGAGATTAGAACATGGCCATCTTGAAAAGGTTGGGGGAGGCATATTATTCAGCCTACCACTTCATTCTTTCCCAGTTTAATCCATGTGGTATGGCTGGGACTATTCCTACATGCCTATATCTAGATAAACTCTATTACTCAGACTGAGAGATACAGAACTCCACTGCAGTGGTCACGGTAATAAGTTCTGAAGTGAGTCTGTGACCAAAGCTGAGCAAATGTGATTACTCCTTGCTACTTCTGTTAGAACAATTTTTAAAAGATATTCTCTTTCTCCTGGGATTACTAAGTTTGTAAAATAGTATTCTTGAGTATCTGGTAGCCATCTTTTCTTTCTCAAATGGAGAAATCTTATTAGAGAATGAAATGAACATAGAGAAAAACATTGGTGAGAAACTGGGAGAAAAATATTCTCATGACATTTTAGGAATTCAACAAAGGCACCAATAACCATTTTTGTCGTAAAGTTTGAGCTGTTTTCAGTCACTTACAAACAAAACAGATGTGTAAATATAGTGATTATCTGAATCAACAATAAAAGAAAAAGCAGGTCAAGTTGAGAAGACAAAACTTTGCATCAAGGGGTGAAAACAAAAGTAGCAAAGCTGGTGCGCAGGAGAACTATTGTCACTAGAGGAGGACAAGTGATTCTGAACTTTGAACGTTCTGAGCATACTCCTGAATATTCTTTTTATAGGATGGCCGCTTTGTGTTGTAGGGCTGGGTCTATCAGCTTAAACAGCTGTGTTGAACTGCCCAGCAGGTAAGATAGGTAAGTATAAGATTCGGTAGGCCCTTACTAAATGTCATGGATAGGCTGCTGTGTGATGGAATTAAATTAAAACATGCTAGAGTAGAATGGGACATATTTTAGGGAGAAATACAACCCAACTAAACAAAGGGGAAATTGAGTCCATTCCATGGCTAAGTTTCTTGTAACAATTTAGCGAATTAATTAGTTTTATTGGTATAATTGGAGACAAGCAAAAAACTTCATCTTTGTTTTTAATGAAGACTTCTAAAGAAGAAATATTTCTATGTAATGATCAGTTATTTTTCTTTCTTGTTTTATGAAAGAAGCTCTAACAGGCAAATGGTCCAGCTCTGGCATCTGCATAGTTCTGTGTGCCTTTCACACACTGGGATGCCTTGGTTTAAGAGGAGATTCCCAGCTGTGTGGAGGAGATGACAACAGTGCAGATCTAAGCTCGAAACAGCAGGTTTTATGGCACAGCGGTTGAGGCATTCATATATTCACCAAGATTAGAAAACTTCAGAAAGACTTATTCACAAAATTCTGAACTGACCTTTAATTAAGGCTATATGGAAACTTTTTTTCTAAGTTGCTGTGAACAGATGACAGATGCAAGATTTATTGCATCAAGAATTTAATCAGAAAAACATATTTTCTTTCCTAGAGATGTAGTAAATTGTTTTGTTATATGAAGGAAAAAATACAACACTCATGAGCACAGTTGTTTATTTCCAGGTCCTTTTGTTTTTTTTCCTGAGTGTTGTGAAATATTTTATTCTTCTTCATTTGAATCAGATATATAAATAGTAGCATCAGCTGGAATAGGTATAAGCGTAATATATTATGTTCAAGTTTTAGATATGTCTTAAAAAGTATATGTTTTCCCATCTCCGTTTTACAAGGATGTAAAAAGTGGCACTATAATACAAATTGTTCATGAAAGGCTGGTTCTCTGGCATTTTCCAAAGTATTTGGCAATATAAGAGACTTAAAAAAGGAAAAAAAAAACCTGTAAAATTATTTAACAAAATATATTAGAAAATATGTAATATAAAAATAACCCCAGTGATATGCTGTCCGAAGTGAATAAACACAGTAAATATACCAGCAATACATTTAGACTCCATGTAACAGTTCAAGCACTAGCCCTGCCATTTGAATTTAATACCATGTATTGCTTTCAATAGTAAAGTTAATTATGTATTTAATAAGACTTTAAGATACTCTCCCACCAACCACTTCATGGCATTTCTGGCTGACTCTTTTAGGAAGCCTGTGTCCTAATGAAAAAGAAAGGAGCCAATATTTCAAAAGCCAATTTCACTTTTAAATGCCACACAGAAATAGGGCAAGGGAGTGAAAGCACAGAAAAAGGCAATTATAATAGTAAAGAGTGGCCCAAAGCAATGTGCAGGAAGATGCACTTCTGGTCCTGATTTATGTCAACATGACCCTCATTCATGACACTGAAGTCAATTCACAGGATTATAAACACGCAGCTCAGTAAGAGAAGAGTGGGTAAGGCAGTCCTCCAGATTTATCCATTTCCCATCTGATCATTGTCAAAAGGATAAAATTCACATCTTGGCCTCATCTGTTCTTATTACAATCTTTGTCATTGGAATGAGATGCCTGAATGTTAATAACCATTGTGATCTGGGAAAGCTTGTAGTCTGCAGTGCTGCTATAACCTTTTCAATATTCCATATTTGATTGGCTCTCCAATCCACTCTGATTTCTCACATGAAGGAGAGGTTGTAAAAGGTGATAACAGAGGCAGTCATCCAATCAAACTGCAGAACCTTGAAAAGGTCAAGCACATATAGAGTTGCCTCCCTGAGAACATAGCAGAGAAATAAAATGAAGGCCCTTTTTCTTATCTGAGATTTCATAATCTCAGTCTTGGACTACAGCAATTCAAATCACAGGAGTAAAAAAAAAAAGTTAAAAGGAAAAACTTGTCCACCTTCACGAGAAATAAAATTATTGCTATACAGTATTTTTCTGTTTTTTTTCTAAAGAAGGTTAAGTTTATTCAAAATACTATATCAAAATAATGCAGACAATGTAGAATAATATTTTTAAAAACTCAAGTTTAGGAATCTAAATTACATGAGTTCAAATCTCATCTCTAGCATTTATTAGTCAAATAACTGTGGCCACTGAATTTAGAAGGCTCAAAATTCTTATCAATAAAATATAATATTATTTTGTTTTTTAAAGCATTGTTTTAGAAATGGGAATAAATAACATATTTGTCCACTGTATAATAATCAGAAGATGGTGGCACACATCAAAACAATAATAGCAGTAATAGCAGCAATAACAGCGGTATTAATACAAAAGTAAAAATAGTGGGACCAGTAGTAATACTTGTAGCACAATAGTAGTAGACACGTAGCAGAATCATTTGTTTTCATATGCATATTAGGGAAAAAAGTAAATTACACTGGTTTTACCAAATAGCTGTATACCAATAAAGCATATTTAAATATATATTGATAGAAAAAAAATCAGGTAATATGTCCAAAGCATATTATTAATATGTCTTGTTAACCCAAGAACTCAGAAACTTCTATAAAATACAAGAAAAGACAACTGGGTAGATTAACTTACAATGAGGAATGAGAATTACATTAGGCCTATGCTTCCTAATTTAAACTATATTTGAAATTAGGATATTTCTTACATTCTCTGCCCTACAATCTCTTAGAAGAGGACACAGGACAGAAGTGAGTAACCAAATTGAAAGCAGTTAACCTGAAGAGTGTGTTTTACATATGAATGGACTAATGGGTAGGAAATAGTAGCTAGAAACTACTTCGAGGTCTGTCATAGTCCAGAAGTTATATGTGTACTGCAATACTGCGTGTAGTCTGATAATTCTATTTTCTTTTTTCCTATTGTGCCTGCCTCCCCTATATTTGGATGTAATCTTAACTGTCTAGAAACTCAGCCTAACAGAATTTATTTATAAGAACAACCACCACCAATATTGTTAGGGTCAAAACCTGATTCATCTACTAAGATTTGTTTTAACAAATTTGATTGAAAATATAGCTTTTTATTGCAAATATAACTTTGGGACCTGTAGACTGACACAGCTAATGAAGTGAGAGAGATTTTATGCTTAGAAAAAAAAAATGTAATCTTTAATTTGCTGAAATATTAACTTCATTGGAGGAATTATTTCAGAATCCCACTAATACCAATTAAGAAGCTGCTATTTATAGTATAATCCTTCTTTGTAGCACTGAATCATTCTTTCATCATGGTGATTTTTTGGTATACTTTTGGTAGCTATGGGACAGATTTTTAATGTTGAGACTTTTAGATGTATCTCTGAGCTACATGAACGCTAACTTGGTGAGGGATACTATCTGTAAACTGATTTCACTCTCAGAGTAAACCAGCTTCCAATTCTCTCTCTCTCTCTCCTCTCTCTCTTTCTCTCTCCTCTCGCTCTCCTTTCACTTCCATCATCATCTTTCTCTTTTACCAACCCCCCCACACAATAGCTTACCCCTACACATGCATACACACACATACACAAGGAGAGTAGAAGAGACAGAGATGCAGAAAAACAGAGACAGAGATAAAGAATTATTTTGTTACCATGAGCATACTATTCATTCAACAGGTGCTTTATAGACTATTTACTGTGTCAGATATTCAGAATAAGAGTACTGGAGAATGTTGTCGTATTTACCCTGACAGAACTCATTCAACAATTTAATTATCTCCCTGTCCCCAGATGGGATAGATAGAATCAGAAATATTTGAAAACAGGCAATAGAAAAATGTGTCATAGTCTGTGATTTTGGAAAATAAAGTGGATGGCCAATAATCTAAATATCTAAGTGAATAGTTGAAAGAAAAAATTGTATTTCCTTTCATGTAATAGATAATCAGTCTTGACCACCAGGAAGAGATAGGGGAGCTGTTTTGCCATGAGGCAAAGAAGCATATGTTTGGTACAGGTGTGATCCGCTTGGAAGCTTTTGGTATTCCCTCACCCAGTTTTTACAATAAATAGACAATTGTAGCAGCCATGCTACAGTTGGGCATAGTGATCAAGGAGAAGACCCTTCATGGATGAGTGTTTAGATTGTACCTATATGTAGGCATGCCACAGAGATTAGCAACGGTGCTAGGTGACGTACAGGGGAATTTCAACTGTATAGTAGAGGAGAGAGACAGAGCGCGTTGGTTGTGAACCTTAGACTAGCTGAGGTTGTGGGGCTGATTTATATTATGACATTTTCTTAAGTTTCCCCCTAGACAGAATTTTCTTGGGAATCCTGGACCTGATGATCCCAGGAATATGTAAAGAAATGGATGTGAGCAGGGTAAGTGGTAGACTAGTGGTAATTGTAATATCTTTCAGATTACTCTTTATAAATGAAGAATTCATTCCCTTAACTGCTTGGACTGCTGCCAGTTGACAATTCACAGTTGTCAGCCTTCCTCGGGCACCTTAACTGAAGTGAGCCACTTCACTCAAAGACATGTTCCCTTCCTCAGGCAACCAATATTCAATTACTTAAGTACACGGAGTTATAAAAACCTATCCCACTTGCCCCAAGTTACATAACTCTAAGATATTATCTCAACTTCAGAGCTCTTCATAAGGTAAGCTGAGGCCTTCTGTGAGAATGCATCTTGGCCCAATATTTTATCCTGCTAATCTTTCTTTTTTCTTTTCTTTTTTCTTTTTTTTTTTTGAGACGGAGACTCGCTCTGTTGCCCAGTCTGGAGTGCAGTGGCGTGATCTCCGCTCACTGCAACCTCCTCCCCGCAGGTTCAAGCTATTCTCCTGCCTCAGCCTCCTGAGTAGCTGGGACTACAGACGCCCGCCACCACGCCCAGCTAATTTTTGTATTTTTACTAAAGACGGGGTTTCACCATGTTGGCCAGGATGGTCTCAATCTCTTGACCTTGTGATCTGCCCGCCTCGGCCTCCCAAAGTGCTGGGATTACAGGCATGAGCCACCACACCCGGCTCTATCCTGCCCAATTTTTCTTCTCTTTCTTTCTACAAATGTTGATTCCAAGAACAATTAATAAAAACTTCCAAACTAATAATGTCTGTCCCAGCCTGCTTTCTGGTACAAAACTATATGAAGAGTTTGAAGAAAAACATGAATAGACCTTTCACAAAACCAACAGTTGCTCAATACATGTATAAAAAGATATTCTGAATTAAAATCAACTGGAAAAGCAGACATAAAGACCATTGTGAAAAACTTTTTTATTTTTTAACTTAATTTTTCTGAAAGTATTTTGAAAGATAATACTGCTTGCATTTCTGTGTATAATATGATGGTTTGAAGTACATACACATTGTGAAATAACTAAATACTAATTAGCTAGACTAATAACTAAATCTAGCGAATTAATATGGGAATTGCCTCAGATACTACCAATTATATTGCTAATAGTGCTGAGAATACTTAATATCCACTTTCTTAGCATTTCTAATAATAAAATATATTGTTATTAGCTATAGCCACCATGTTGTACAAAAGATCGCTTGAACTTACTAATTCTTACTAAAATTTTGTATCCTTTGACCAACATCTCTCCAAACCCCACCACCAACCCCCAACCATCCTAGACTCTTGCAACCACCTTTCTTCTCTCTACTTCTATGAGATAAAACTTTTTAGATTCCACATATGCATGAGATTTTACAGTATTTATCTTTCTGTCCTTGGCTTATTTCACTTAAAGTAACTTCCTTTAGGTTTAATCATATTGTCTCAAATAACAGGGTTTATTCCCATGTATAATGGCTGAATTGTATTTCACTCTATATACATACAAAATTTTCTTTATCAATTTATGCATTGATGAACACTTACGTTGATTCCATAACTTGGCTGTTTTCAATAACGCTGCAATCAATGTGGGAATGCAGATAGTTCCTTGACATACTGATTTTATTTACTATGGATATATACCCAGTAGTGGAATTGATGGATCATATGGTAGTTCTATTTTTAATTTTTGAGGACCATCTATACTGTTTTTATCAGGGATGTAATAATTTCTACTTTCACCAAGAGTGTGCAAGGATTCCTTTATCTCCAGTTTGTCAATAATTATTATCTTTTGTCTTTTTGATAATAGCCATTCTAACAGGTGTGAGATGATATCTTATTTAAATGCAAATTGTGATTTTAATTTACATTAGAATGATGAGTTGTAATATTGAGCATTTTGTAATACACCTGATGGCCATGTGTATGTCTTATTTTGAGAAACATTTATTAAGGTCCTTTGCCCATTTTTTAAATCAATTTTTTTTGTTTTGGCTGTTGAGTTGAGTGTCTTATATATTTTGGATATTAACTCCTTGTCAGATGTATGGTTTGCAAATATTTTCTCTCATTCTGTAGGTTGTTTCTTCACTCTCTTGACCATTTCCTTTGCTGTGCAGACCTTTTTAGTTTGATACAGTCCTATTCATCGATTTTGGAGTTTGTTGCCTGTAATCTTGAGGTCATATTCAAAAACTTGTTGCCAGACTAATGTCAGGGAGTTTTTTTCTCTATAATACAAATGGGATTGCATCAAACTGAAAAGCTTCTGCACAGCAAAGGAAACTATCAAAAAGTGAAGATACAGCCTACTTAATGGAAACCATACATGTGCAAATCATTCATCTGACAATGAGTTAATATCAAAATAGGGAAGAAACTCAACTCAAGAGCAAGAAAACAAATAACATAAATTAATAATGAGCAAAGGACTTGAACAGACATTTCTTCAGTGAAGACATACAAAAAATGCCCAACATAACTAATCATTAGGGAAATGCAAATCAAAACCTTTATGAGATATCATCTTATGTCTATTAGAATGACTTTTGTCAAAGACAAAAGGTAAGTGTTGGCAACCTTATGGAAAAAAGGAAACCTTTGTACATTTTTGGTGGAAATGTAAATTAGTACAGCCATTATGAAAAACAGTGTAGAGGTTCCTTAAAGTATTAAAGAATTAAAAATAGAACTACCATAAGATCTAGCATTCTTATCACTGGATATGTATCCAAAGGAAATGAAATCAGTATCTCCAAGAGTTATCTGTACTTTCATGTTTATTATATTATTATTTACAACAGCCAAGACATAAAAACAATCTAAATATCCATTAATAAATACAAGGTTAAACATCTGGTATATATGCATTGGAATATTATTCATCCTTAAAAAGAAGGAAATTCTGTCTTTTCAATAACTTGGATGCATCTAGAGGTTGTGCTAAGTGAAATAAGCTAGGCTCATTAAGGCAGTCACTGCATGCTCTCACTTATATGTGTGTCAAAAAGTCATCAAACTCCTAAAAACAGAGAATATATTGCTGTCAAGGGTAGGGGAAATGAGGAGATGTTGGTCAAAGGATGCAAAGTTTTACTTACGCAGGATAAATTTTTTGTGGAGATCTAATGTACAGCATGGTGACTATAGTTAATTATTATGTGTTTTATACTTAAAATTTGCTAGGAGAATAGATCATAAATATTCTCAACACACACACAAAATTGACAACTGTCTGAGGTGAAGAATATGTTAATTAGCTTTACTGTAGTATTATTTAACTCTGTAAATGTATGTCAAAACATCATGTTGGATATATTAAATTTATCCAATTTTTATGTGTCAATTATACCTCAATAAATCTAAAACAAGAAATTCTAACAAAAATGTCTTAAAGTAGAAATTTTTCTTATTTAATAATTTAACAATTTTTTTTTACTTCAAAGGCAATTTTTGCTTAATGCAAAACCTTGAGAATCAGGGATAAGTATGGAAAAAGAATAGCATCATAATTTATCACAAACAAAGCACATCTAAACTATAACCATATTTAGAGATACAAAGATAAATATAGTTGGTCCTTTATATTTATGGGTTCTGCATTCCATGGATTCTTTACTATAGATAAAACATATTTGGAAAAAATAAAGTATTGTTCCATCTGTACTGAACATGTACAGACCTTTATTTCTTGCCATTATTCCGTTGACCATACAGCAGAACAACTGTTTACATAGCACTTACATTTCATTTGGTATTTTGGTGCTGTCATACATACTAATTTTCATCCAAGGTTTCATAACTCCCCATAGCCCTTGTTACATCTTTTGTTATAATGTTGGGTGAGTTAGGCCTCAGGAGCAGGCCTCTGACCTTCTTTTGCCCTCGTTTTTTTATTATACTTTAAGTTTTAGGGTACATGTGCACAATGTGCAGGTTAGTTACATATGTATACATGTGCCATGTTGGTGTGCTGCACCCAGTAACTCGTCATTTAACATTAGGTATATCTCCAAATGCTATCCCTCCTCCCTCCCCCCACCCCACAACAGGCCCCAGAGTGTGATGCTCCCCTTCCTGTGTCCATGTGTTCTCATTGTTCAATTCCCACCTGTGAGTGAGAACATGCGGTGTTTGTTTTTTTGTCCTTGCGATAGTTTGCTGAGAATGATGGTTTCTAGCTTCATCCATGTCCCTACAAAGGACATGAACTCATCATTTTTTATGGCTGTATAGTATTCCATGGTGTATATGTGCCACATTTTCTTAATCCAGTCTATCATTGTTGGACGTTTGGGTTGGTTCCAAGTCTTTGCTATTGTGAATAGCGCTGCAATGAACATATGTGTGCATGTGTCTTTATAGCAGCATGATTTATTATCCTTTGGGTATATACCCAGTAATGGGATTGCTGGGTCAAATGGTATTTCTAGTTCTAGATCCCTGAGGAATCACCACACTGACTTCCACAATGGTTGAACTAGTTTACAGTCCCAGCAACAGTGTAAAAGTGTTCTTATTTCTCCACATCCTCTCCAGCACCTGTTGTTTCCTGACTTTTTATTTTATTTATTTATTTATTTAATTATTATTATACTTTAAGTTTTAGGGTACATGTGCACAATGTGCAGGTTAGTTACATATGTATACATGTGCCATGCTGGTGTGCTGTACCCATTAACTCGTCATTTAGCATTAGGTATATCTCCTAAAGCTATCCCTCCCCCATCCCCCCACCCCACAACAGTCCCCAGAGTGTGATGTTCCCCTTCCTGTGTCCATGTGTTCTCATTGTTCAATTCCCACCTATGAGTGAGAATATGCCGTGTTTGGTTTTTCGTTCTTGTGATGGTTTACTGAGAATGATGATTTCCAATTTCATCCATGTCCCTACAAAGGACATGAACCCATCATTTTTTATGGCTGCATAGTATTCCATTCCTGACTTTTAATGATCACCATTCTAACTGGTGTGAGATGGTATCTCATTGTGGTTTTGATTTCCATTTCTCTGATGGCCAGTGATAATGAACATTTTTTCATGTGTCTTGTGGCTGCATAAATGTCTTCTTTTGAGAAGTGTCTGTTCATATCCCTGCTTTTCACTCTAATGTTTCCCTGCCTTTCTGATTGCAGATCTTAAGGTCCTCCCAGGAGAGGGTCCCACCCTATATTCTGATAGTAAGAATGCTGATGTCATGATGCTTCCATAAAAACCCAAGAGGACAAGGTTCAGTGAGCTTTCAGATAGCTGAACATGTGGAGGTTCCTGGAGGGCGATAGTTCCCAGGGAGAGCATTGGAGCTCCTAGTCCCTTGCCCCTTCCCCCATACCTCATGCTACGCATCTGTTCTTTTGTATCCTTTGAAATATCCTTTATATTAAGCCAGTAAAATAAGTAAGTGTTTTCCTGAGTTCTGTAAGCTGCTCTAGAAAATCAAACCCAAAAAGGGGGTCGAGGGAACTCCATCTTGAAGCTGATGGGTCAGAAGTTCCTGAGGCTTGGACTTGCGGTGCAGGGCAGAGGCCAGTCTTGGGGACTGAGCCCTCACTGTGCGATCTGACACTATGGCCAGGTAGACAGTGTCTGAACTGAATTAGAGCACACCCAGCTGGTGTTAGCTGCTTGGTTTGTGGGGGCAAAAATTCCCCACATATATGGTCACAGAAGTCTTCTTCTGTGTTGATGATTGTCATGGTGTGAGAGCACAGAAAAAATAGGTAGGGAGAGTTTTCCCTACACAGGTATTATAAGTAATCTAGAGATCATTTAAAACTGTCTGTAGGTTATATGCAAATACCACACCATTTTACATAAGAAACTTGAGCATCAATGGATTTTGCTATCTGTAGGGAATTAAACTAGTCCTTTACAGATACGGAGGGACAATGATATGTATGTGCGTGTGTCCGTATTTGTATATATATATGTAATTTTAAATAAAATTGGTACTATAGTAATAATGTAGTTCCTATTTTATTTTAAACTTAGCAATACATCCTAAATATATTCTATTCTCAAAGGTTTTGATTATGTTTATAAAAGACTGTGACATTTATTGTTGATGTTATTTCAATATTCCTGTTAAAATAATGCACAAAAACAAATTAGCATAGATGTTTATGCTTATCATGTATTAAGGAAAACCATATTTAAAGTAATTATTGGCTGAAGAATAAACACACTCAGGTTTTTGTTATATATTCCCTGATTATCTTTTAAAAATCTTTAGCAAATGATAATCTTACTAAAATTATTTTGTAATTTTTCTAATATTGTTCTTTCTGAAAGGTAATAAATGCAAACCTCCTAATTTACATTTCTATGATTTTTATAAACTTGAATTTTAAAATATTTATATTTTAATTACAAACCTTCTTAGTATGAATTGTCTGATTCTATCCATTATATATATTTTTTCTTTTTTCTATTTTGCATTTCTGTTTATTGTCTTCTTAATGATATGTTATAGTGTGTTTTTGTTTCTTTGTATCCAAGAAAAATACCTAGATTTCAATACAATTCTCTATAATTAAAATTCCACTTTTGCTCAATAAATTGTAGATAATCATAACCTCAATAAGAAACAAGAAAAAAGATGAGGCAAGTCAACTAATTTGAAAATAAACAATAAAAATTGAAGATATAAAAATAAGTCTAGATAAAAATATATATATTTTGAAAACTTTTAAAGTTGCAACCAAACACTTGGAATGAGATTTTCAAAGAATAAAAAATCCTATCCACACTATAAGATATTAAAATCAGTATTGTGGAGGAGAAAATTGACTGACTTCTGAGAATACATCGAAACTACAAGAGAAGATTCATTAATAAAAAGTTGATAGATATTCAATATTTAGGAAACTGTCCTAGAAGAAGGAATCAGAAAAAGTGAAAAAAGAAGCAATATTTGAAGGGATAGTACAATATAATTTTATGGGCTGAAAATAAAATGGCATCTTCAAAAGGAAAAGACTGATAATGACAAAGATGACCACAAGATGATGCTAGTGGTACTTGTCAATATCTTTTGAGTGTATGAAATGTGCACAACTCAATATAAGATACCTGTCTTTATACTTGTTATTTAACCCTCAAAACCACATTTTAAGGTACATATTTTTTAAATGAAAAATGAATTCTTAAATATATTGTGTAATGTCACAACCAGTTCAGTATAAACACAAAAGTTTAAACATATTTAGCGATTTTCATTTCTCATATTTTTATTCATCACATATTGGGTTGATACATTTATATAAGTTTCAAAGAGTTTTAATTTTAAAGATAAAATAGCAGACAGCTATGTGGTCAATTTTGGAATAGGTGTGGTGTGGTGCTGAAAAAAATGTATGTTCTGTTGATTTGGGGTGGAGAGTTCTGTAGATGTCTATTAGGTATGCTTGGTGCAGAGCTGAGTTCAATTCCTGGGTATCCTTGTTAACTTTCTGTCTCGTTGATCTGTCTAATGTTGACAGTGGGGTGTTAAAGTCTCCCATTATTATTGTGTGGGAGTCTAAGTCTCTTTGTAGGTCACTCAGGACTTGCTTTATGAATCTGGGTGCTCCTGTATTGGGTGCATATATATTTAGGATAGTTAGCTCTTCTTGTTGAATTGATCCCTTTACCATTATGTAATGGCCTTCTTTGTCTCTTTTGATCTTTGTTGGTTTAAAGTCTGTTTTATCAGAGACTAGAAATGCAACCCCTGCCTTTTTTTGTTTTCCATTTGCTTGGTAGATCTTCCTCCATCCTTTTATTTTGAGCCTATGTGTGTCTCTGCACGTGAGATGGGTTTCCTGAATACAGCACACTGATGGGTCTTGACTCTTTATCCAATTTGCCAGTCTGTGTCTTTTAATTGGAGCATTTAGTCCATTTACATTTAAAGTTAATATTGTTATATGTGAATTTGATCCTGTCATTATGATGTTAGCTGGTTATTTTGCTCGTTAGTTGATGCAGTTTCTTCCTAATCTCGATGGTATTTACATTTTGGCATGATTTTGCAGCAGCTGGTACCGGTTGTGCCTTTCCATGTTTAGTGCTTCCTTCAGGAGCTCTTTTAGGGCAGGCCTGGTGGTGAAAAAATCTCTCAGAGTGAACAGGCAACCTACAAAATGGGAGAAAATTTTCACAACCTACTCTTCTGACAAAGGGCTAATATCCAGAATCTACAATGAACTCAAACAAATTTACAAGAAGAAAACAAACAACCCCATCGAAAAGTGGGCAAAGGATATGAACAGACACTTCTCAAAAGAAGACATTTATGCAGCCAACAGACACATGAAAAAATGCTCATCATCACTGGCCATCAGAGAAATGCAAATCAAAACCACAGTGAGATACCATCTCACACAAGTTAGAATGGCAATCATTAAAAAGTCAGGAAACAACAGGTGCTGGAGAAGATGTGGAGAAATAGGAACACTTTTACACTGTTGGTGGGACTGTAAACTAGTTCAACCATTGTGGAAGTCAGTGTGGCGATTCCTCAGGGATCTAGAACTAGAAATACCATTTGACCCAGCAATCCCATTACTGGGTATATACCCAAAGGATTATAAATCATGCTGCTGTAAAGACACATGCACATGTATGTTTATTGCGGCACTATTCACAATAGCAAAGACTTGGAACCAACCCAAATGTCCAACAATGATAGACTGGATTAAGAAAATGTGGCACATATACACCATGGAATACTATGCAGCCACAAAAAATGATGAGTTCGTGTCTTTTGTAGGGACATGGATGAAATTGGAAATCATCATTCTCAGTAAACTATCGCAAGGACAAAAAACCAAACACCGCATGTTCTCACTCATAGATGGGAATTGAACAATGAGAACACATGGACACAGGAAAGGGAACATCACACTCTGAGGACTGTTGTGGGGTGGGGGAGGGTGGAGGGATAGCATTAGGAGATATACCTAATGCTAAATGACGAGTTACTGGGTGCAGCACACCAGCATGGCACATGTATACATATGTAACTAACCTGCACATTGTGCACATGTACCCTAAAACTTAAAGTATAATAATAATAATAATAATAAAAAGAGACAAAAAAATAGCAGACAGCTTAAATTTATGCATTTATACATTGAGAAGAATAAAGGTGGCCTCAGAACTTTCTACTATATTACAATGGCAGGACATGTGTGTCACAGATACAATGGGAGACTTTATAGTAACATAAAATGGTTAAATAAAACTGGTAAATAATATGTTTAATTAAAATATTAAAGTGATTGCATTAGTCATGGTTCTCCAGAAAAACAGAACTAATAGGAGAGTATATATACATATATAATATTACATTATATTATATACACCTACATGCATATATACACAGTATGTATATATGCATTCACATATATGCATACATATATACACATATAGATACATATACAAATACATGTATACGTATACTCACATATGTGTATAATAAGTAATGTGTTTACATAATATTATTGAGGTTGAAATCTTCCATGATCTGCCATATGCAACCTGGAAACCCAGGAAAGCAGGTGGTATAGCTCCAGCCTGAATCTGAAACTCTGAGAACTAGGAGTTCCAATGGTGTATTTCTCAGAAGACACATATTGCCACTCAAGCAGTTCATCAGAGAGTGTGAATTCTCCCTTCTTCCATCTTTTCATTTCATTCACTTCTTAAGAGATTGAATGATATCCACCCACACTGGGGCGGGCAATAACTTTATACAGTCTATATTCAAATCCTAATCTCATACAGTGACACCTTCACAGATACACCCAGAAAGAATATTTAACCAAATATTATTGGAGCATCCTATAATCCAGTCAAGTTGACACATAAAATTAAGCAAAACAATACTCAATTATGTAGAATATTTCATCTGCTTATTATAAATAAAACTTATTCCATATTCTTGTCTGAATAACTATGCCTACCAGAAAGGAATATATAAAGCCTAAAAATGAATGATACTATTTTTATCACTCTTTCAATTCTATCATATTTTGTTTTATTTTTCACTTTAGTCTTTCTTGAAACCTTACGAAAGGAGAGGCTGAAAAATTAAAATTTGTCTAGCAGTATGGAATCTGTATAAAATAGTATAACAGGCTTCTAAGGCTCTAAAAATAGTATCAGCAAGATTAAAAATCTAGATTGAGTTCAAAGAGGGCAAATCGACTTTTAAATATTAAAAATAAATACAATTGCGTATTAGATTCCTGTTATTGCATTAACAAATTACCAGAAACTTTATGGCTTAAAACAGTATGAATTTATTACTCTACATTTCTAGAAGTCGGAATCCCAAAATTAGCTTCACCAGGCTAAACTCAACATACTGCCAGGGTTCTGTTCCTTTTTAGGGCTTGAAAGGAGAATCCGTTTCCTTGCCTTTCCCAGCTTCTAGAGGCTGCCCATGTACCTTGCCTTGAGGTAACATTCCTCCATTTATAAGCCAGCAACATCAGGCCAAGTCCTTCTCATGCTGCAATTTCTCAGATTCTCTCTTCTTCTTCCCTCTTAAATCTATAACAACCTTTGAGACTACATTGAGCCCACTTAGATAAACTAAGAAAGTCTCCCCATTTTAATGTCAGTTGACTAGCAAGATAAATCCTATCAGTCATCTTAATTCATTTTTGCCATGTATGTAGCTATTACATGTTGCAGAGATTAGGCTGTGCACATTATTCCAGAACTGTTATTCTGCCCAACATTCTAGGCTTTGGTTCCCAAAGAGTCACATCTATCCCACATGCAAAATGCATTCATTCCACCCAAGGTCCCCAAAAATCTCAATGAATTACAGCATCAGCTCAAGTTCAAAATATCATCTGAGTCACATCAGCTTAAAAGTCTCAAATCTCATCAGCTACATAATGTAAAATATGTATGGATGAGGCCAGGGATATAATTCATTGTGGGGTGTAATTCCTCTCTTTTACTCTATTATGATTCCAGATTGTCTTTGAGTAGAAATGTTTTCAGACTATGAAAGATAGGGCCAGTATTAAAAAGTGCAAGTTGAAGACACTGTTATGTAAGAAGGTTGGTTATGTGTAACATGATTTAGAGTCTGTGAGTGCTATGTTGCTCATAGCAAACCATGAAAGAGAGTGAAGACTGAGTTCCGTCATTCAATACCTTTTAAATCACCAGATGATAGAAGGAGGACAAAATCGTGCATATAAACAGACATCTTGACTCCCTAAGAGACGGAAATCTTTGATTTTTCTTACCATGGTTTGATGGATGTAGTTTAATAGGAAATATCTTTAAAGATTAAATTACTCAATAGGAAGCAAAACAGAGATCTCTAGAGTCTGGAATGAGTTCACTATAGATATATCAGTAAAAACCAATTTCAAACCAATTTTTCCTAGATAATTTTATCAAACTAATAAATTAGAAAAAAGTTATAGTTTTGATAGAACATTTAATAACTGTGATTTATATCACAATATAGGTAGGTATACATGTAATAAGTTAAAAGGCTTCTCATAAAATAAGCATAGGTTAAAATGTTGTGTGCCTAATGGAACACCATGATATACCCTGAATTTAATATTTCAACCAGTGATTTCTATAAAGACATTTATGGCATGGCAGTAAAATGGATGAAGCATGTCAAACTGAGCAGTTTACTCAAGATATTACATAAAAACCTCTAGGCTTTAACTGATTCATTTCTATTCTGCAATAAACATTATTTAATATGAGGTAGAGACTTGAAGTACTACATAGTAAGGTTTAAAGAAACTTGGATTGTTTTACTGGCAAATAAAATTTTGAGATAATACAAAGGCTGTATGAAACTATTTAAGACCTGGGATTTTTAATAAGTCGTAAATGTATTTTATTTACTTCATTAACTCATTGCATAAATATTTATCGAATGATTATTTTTATGCTAAGTGCCTGATAGAAATAGGTACTTATTGGAGAGCAAAAATAGACACAGTTGCACAGTTGTCTACTTATCTAATGAAACTTATATTTTAATGGGAAAAACAGGTACAAAATTTATTTAAAAAATAAATAACACTTTCACCATAATATGAACTATAAATGCATTATATTTTGCTGTGAGAATCTAAGAAAAGAGGATTGACCTACAAAAATCAGAAAAAGAAATCACTGAGCTAGAGCTTAAAGACATACTTAGGAGTTAAAATCAAAGAAGAAAGAAAGAATTTTCAGAAAAGAAAATAACATGTCCAAAGGCCTTTGGGTAAGATCAAGCTAAGAGCGTCTACAATACTAAAAAATAACAGTGCAACTTAAGTCAATAGCCTGATGAAGAACACTGTTATAGGAGATAAATACAAATGTGAAGAAAAAATTCGTAAAAGCTACTGCCTTCTACTAATCTTTATGCGATTTCATAAACACCGACTTCCCATAAGTGGAGGTGTTAAGCAGTGATACAGCAAGGCTTGCTTTGGGGTGAGCCCTCAGCACCCAGCCTTTTTGCTTGTGTCAATTGTTTTTACTTGCAGTTCTTTGAGTATTTTTTATATTCTTATTTGATTTGTTATTGAATTAAGTGAAATTTCCAGCATTGGATGAAACATATCTCCTCAAATCCTTCCAAATTAGAGATATTATATATTATATCTTTTCTGTAGCAAGTATGATCAGGGGGTGGAGTGCTCTGTGTTATTCTTAAAGAACACAGCTTTGCTACAGCTGTGTTTAAACTAACTCTAGTATATTTTTTCTTGGCAAGATCATGCTTTGTTACTTACTTAAAACCAGATTCCTAGATTTCCAGTTTCTGGTTCAGCATTTAAGAAGCTTGGAAGTTGCTACTTTGTCCTAACAACAACTAAAAAGTTGTATAAACTGAAAACTCAATAACGGCTCTTAGATTTATAGGACAAATGAAGTCACAAGACAAACAGTTATCCCACTCCCAACCGGAGAGATTGACAGAAGAATACAGAGAATTGCAACTTACTGAAGCAGAAACTCACCTGTAGCAACCTTCATGGGAATCAGTGCCCAGGTACAACAACTTGAACTCCAGTGGATGAATTGCCGGAGGCTCAATGTGGACAAATTTGAAAGTTAAAAATCACCAGGGAAACGAATCCCAGTCATACAGAGAGGAACACTTGTGAGTTTTACTACTAGGAGCTATACAACATCTACACAGAGAATATAGGAGAAACATCCTCTTGTGTTTCCAGCAGGCCGAAGGGAAAAGAAACTGTTTTGAAATACATCATATGTCTCATTCTTAACAAAGTCTATCTTCACAAGAAACAATTTAACTAGAGCCTAACCTGCTGGGGTTTTATCAGAGCCTAACTGACCTGCGAGAAGAGAAATACCCAACCTCAGCCTACTCTAGTCATCTTGTCTTACCTATGGGAGTAAAGGAGGCAGCAGAGGCAAGGTGGAAACAAAACAAAACAAAACATCAGGAGCAGGCTTGAAGTTTAAAATTCAGAGGTATAGACTCACTAAAAAACTGAGTCCTGACCACAGGACTAGAAAATGCTTCCCCTCTGCCATGCTTTAGCACTATATTACTAAGGGCTTTTTTATAGCAATTTCTTTCACGCAGTGCCTGATATCTGGCTATCAAGAAAACATTATGAGACTTACTAAAATGCAAAAAACACAGTTTGAAATTCAGAGCAAGCATCAAAGCAAGAACTCAGCTGTGGAAGGAATGTTGAAATTATCAGATTGGGAATTTAAAATAACCGTGATTAATATGCTGAGGACTCTAATGGAAAAGTGGACAGCATGCAGGAACAGATGGGAAATGTAGGCAGATAAATGGAAATTCTAAGACAGAACCAAAAAGTAACATTAAATATCTAGATTCTTCTCATGTTAGATGCTGTTTGAAAACCTATAATTTTGCTCACAGATAAAATATTAAAGTATGAAATTATTTTAAATCAGAAATAATGAAATGATTTTAAATCAAAATTATTTACTATAATAATATATTTAAAATAATTATTTTAAATTAGAAATAAATCAGATTTATATAAACTTTAGAAAATAAAGTAAAGGGCTTTTATTAGTTTGTTTTCACACTGCTATAAAGAGCTACCTGGCTGGGCACAGTGACTCATGCCTGTAATCCCTTTGGGAGCACTTTGGGAGGCTGAGGCTGGGTGGATCATTTGAGGCCAGAAATTTGAGACCAGCCTGGCCAATACTGCAAAATCCTGTCTCTACTAAAAATTACAGAAATTAGCCGGGTGTGGTGGCATGTACCTGTAATCCCCGCTACTTGGTAGACTGAGGTGGGAGAATTGCTTGAACCCAGAGGCAGAGGCTGCAGTGAGCCGAGATCACGCCACTGAACTCTAGCCACTGAACTCTAGGTGACAGAGCAAGACTCTGTATCAAAAAAAAAAGAAAAAAGAAAGAAAGAGCTACCCGAGACTGGGTAATTTATGAAGAAAAAGAGGTTTAATTGACTCATAGTTCTGAGGGAACCTAGAACTATTGACTGGGGGACCTCAGGAGCCTTATGTGGTGGAAGGCAAAGAGGAAGCAAGCATTTCTTACCATGACAGAGCAGGAGAGGGAAAAAGAAGGGGGAAGTGCCCTTTTAAACCATCAGATCTCACTATCATGAGAACAGCAAGGGGGAAATCCGCCTCCCACCAGGCCCCTCCTCTGACATGTGGGAATCACATGTGGAATTACAATTCCACATAAGATTGGGGTGGGGACACAGAGCCAAACCATATCGGAATTATTCCCAAATTATTGTATGAGATCAGTATAACCCTGATACTAAAACCTAATGAAGGCAATGCCAAAAATATCTCTAATGAAAAAATATAAAAATGTATAACAAAATATTAGCCAATCAACTTGCACAATATATAGAAAAGAAAAATATATCATGACCAAGTGCGTTTTGCATCAGTAATGCAATAATTTAGATGACATAGTATTTACTGAAAGCAAAGATCATTATATTATTTTCCTCATTGAATTATCTTGACACCCTTGTCAAGACTCATTTGACCATATCTGCAAGAGTCCATTAAGTTAAGAATAAAGATTACAAAGCTATTCAGTAGAAAAAAGAAAGTCTTTCAATGAATTGGATTGGTATAACTAGATAAATATTTGGGAAAAATTAATAACTCTTGAAGCTTACTTCACACCATAAACAAATGCTAATTCAAAAATAAAATTTAGATAACTGAATATAAAACAATATAAAAAGAAAAAATAAAACTTTACAGTTTTGGGGTAAATAAATAATTTATATATGGAATACTTTTTTGAAAACAAAAAGAAGAAAAGCTTTATAAATAAAAATCTTTTATCCAAATAGTGCATCTGATCGTCACGTAATAAATGGAACTATATATCCCTCCAATTAATAAAAATTTACAAAATTCCAATAGCATAGGAGAAAATTGTTTTCAGTGCTTGAATAGTCATCAGCATAAAACAGTAAGCCCTGGGATAATAAAAATATCAATGAAACAAAGAGCCAGGTCTTTGAAAAGATGAATAAAATATAGAAATTACTATAATAATATAATATTATAAATATATATAAAATAATATAAGACTGACTATTAGTCCTCACATTGCTACAAAGAAATACCTTAGATGTGGCAATTTATAAAGAAAAGAGGTTTTTATTGACTCAGGGTTGCAACCAGGTTGTACAGGAAGTATGGAAGCATCTACTCTGCCTCATGGGAAACCTCAGGAAACTTACAATCATGGCAGAAGGTGAAAGGGAAGCAGACATGTCTTATATGGCTAGAGCAGGGGCAAGAGAGATGGAGGTGGGAGGTGTCACACACTTTTAAACAACCAGGTCTCCTGAGAACTCTATCGAATAAACAGCAACAAAGGGATGGAGATAAACCATTCATGAAAGATCCACCCCTGCGATTCAATCACCTCCCACCAGGCCCTAGCTCCAACATTGAGGATTACAAACTGAACATAAGATTTGGGTGAGGACATAGATCCAAATCATATCACTGACACAGAAAAGAAGGGAGATGACACAAATTACCACTATTGGAAATGTAATTACACAGGGTGTTACTATAGATCCTGAGACAAAAACCAGACTACTTAAATTTGAATTCTATATGTGCCACTTATTAATTTATTAATCCTATATCAGCCACTTATTAATGTGTGTGTGCCCTTGAGAAAATTACCCTCTTGGTGACTAAATTTCTATATTTGTAAAAATAGGGTTGGTTTATTCATTATAATTTTATTGCTCATGCTGAATAAATATTGTTCTAGACCTGAGGATATAACAGCAAACCACACGAAAATTCTTGTCCTCAAAAAGTACACATATTAATGGGGATGGGGTGTGTATACATTACACACAAGAAAAAGTAAAATGTATGTTTGTTACATAGCAAAGAATACTAATCAGAAAATAAAGTGAGGAAAGGGTTAGAATTTTGTGAAGACGAGAGGAAGTTGTATTTTAGGTAGGTGAGCTACAAAGTGCTCACTGAAAAGCTGAGGTTTGAGTAATAACCAGAAGGAGATGAATACTTTGGCCTTGCAGACACAAAGGGCAAGAGGTTTTCAAGAAGAGGGAAAAGCAAAATGTTCTTTATTGGTACAGTACCTCAGCTTTAGTTATCTAATGTCCTGGCACGACTCTCTGCTAACTGATAGTAACAATAACTATTATTTATTGAGTGGTTAGGATGAATGACATATTCTGAGAAATCAGCAATATTATCTCTATTTAATATACAGAACCAGGTATCAGAGTGATCAAATAGCTTCCTCAAATCAAACAACTACAAAAGTAACAGAACAGTTTTAAACCTAGTCTAGAGTCCTGCAGCTTCTGCTCATCCTTTTCCTTCAAGCAGAGACGATGATATCAGTAATTCAACCAATATTCGTTGAGCACTCTACTAGGATTTTAGATATGTCAGTGAAAAAGAAAAACAGAAAAAAATCCCACATTATTGAGGCTATAATTTTCAATCAAAAAAGATAAAAAGTAAATGCTTATAGGTGATGATTTGGCTGTTTCCCCACCCAAATCTCATCTTGAAGTTTAGTCCCCATAATCCCCACATGTCATGAGAGGGACCAAGTGGAGATAGTTGAATCATGGAGGTGGTTTCCCCCATCCTGTTCTCACAATAGCTAGGTAGTTCTCACGAGATCTGATGGTTTTATAAGGGGCTTCTGCCTTCGCTGGGCACTTATTCTTGTGTCTCCTGCCACCATGTGAAGAAGGACGTGCTTGCTTCCCCTTTTGCCATTATTGTAAGTTTCCTGAGGCCACTCCAGCCATGCTGAACTGTAAGTCAATTAAACCTCTTTCCTTTATAAATTACCCAGTCTCAGATATGTCTTTATTAGCAATGTGAAAACAGACTAATACAATAGATAATTAAGTAAACTACACCGTATATACATATATTATATACGTGTGTGTGTGCATATATACATATATATAATTAAAAAGTATTGACTATTCTAGAAAAAATAAGGCAGGAAAAAAGGAGACTGGGATAATGAGGTGGGGTTGTATTTATCAATAACCTTTAAATATGAATTTTATTTTTACTTTTGAGACAGAGTTTTGCTCTTGTCGCCCATGCTGGAGTGCAGTGGCGCAATCTCAGCTCACTTCAACCTCTGCCTACCGGGTTGAAGCGATTCTCCTGCCTCAGCCTCTCGAGCAGCTGGAATTACAGGTGCCCACCACCATGCCTGGCTAATTTTTTGTATTTTTAGTAGAGACAAGATTTCGCCATGTTGGGCAGGCTAGTCTCGAATTCCTAACTTCAGGTGATTCACCCACCTCGGTCTCCCAAAGTGCTGGGATTACAGGCATAAGCCACCTAGACGTTGATTAAACTTAGCTATTCCAACCAATCTGGGTAGAAAAAACCTTCACAAAATATGACAAATAATTATTGTCACATAGGGACACATTTTCTAAAGTATTAATAGTATATTACAGTGATGTAAATTTTTTACAGTTTTAAGAACTATTTAGAAAAACTATAAGAGGGGTGCAAGGGAAGTCTGCCCTTGCAAGCAGCATAACTAACTGTGCAAGTGTGCTTTTGTGTGTATAAAAATACTTAAATATACACACATCCATCCATCAATAGACTTACATATACACACATATGCCAATACACATTATGTACATACATAATACATAAATGAAAACATGCATATAAACAAAAAATGTATTTTATTAATATAAATATTTGTTTTATGTAGATATTTATTTCATAATGATTAATTAATAACATCTGTAATTTCCAAAGTATGAGAGAAAGATGTCTTTAAAGTGAGTAGGGCAGTTTCACCTGAAGTTATTTAGACTAGATAAAACTGCAATGCAAAAAAGCAAAAAGTGATTTACTCTGAAATTCACTAAATGGTATCTTTATGGCCTTCAGAATTTCAATAATAGGCTTCTTCCTCAAATAGAAAAACCTCAATTTAAAAGAATTCTCCTCTGGGTAACATTTACCTTTCTTAGGCAGAATAGAAAGTGTCAATGACAAAATGGTATAAATACAGTTTCAAAGAATATAGTCTACCATCACAGCCTGTTTGAAAAATCATTATTTAAAAGGGAGAAAAAAAGGCAGTAATATTAATGATCAAAAAGCAAGGCTGGTGCTTGTCCTTTGGTTTGGTCCTTCTTTGTCCTTTGGTTTTCTTCTGATTGTAGCCTCTTCACTTGCATCAAAACACATGATCACAAGCTTTTGCTTACTCCAAGTGCAGAGCTGCTTATTCATATGGCTTTGGAAAAAATAGTAATACAAGCCTACATCTCCTTTCACCAATGCCAAGGGTCTTTAACGCAAAGCTTAGAAAGCTTCGCTCATTGACATCAAACCAGTTAGGAATATTTATTTCAATGAATAGGGCCACAGTTGTTAGAAATGACCTTCATATTTCAAAAATTCAAATGACAGAAGATAAGAAGAGAGTTAAGCTGTGAGTAGTGGTAGAATTGGAAATGGCATATCCCTCCTTTCTCTGCCTCAGTCCATGAGTATTTCAAAAGGCAATAATCATTTTGATGTTCAAACAAAAAGCTTGAGACCATTCTCTCTCTGTCTCTCTTTCTCTCTCTGTCCTCTCTCTCTCTCTCTCTGAACAGGGTCTTTCTCTGTCCCCCAAATTGGAGTGCAGTGGCATAGTCATAACTCACTCAGTCTTGAACTACTGGGCTTAGGCTATCCTCCAGCCTACGCTTTCCAAAGTGTTGGAATTACAGGCATGATACGCTGCACCCAGCCAAGAAAGTGTTCTCAATGAGGTCATCAATATCTTGTCACTTTTCTTTCTAATGATTTGTTTTATTGTCCCTTTTGTATGTTAATTAATATTTATAATTTTTAATCATTCTAAAATAAATTGATTTCTGTAGTTTGTTGAGCATTTGTGTTTCTCCTGTGAAATTTCTGCTCATATATTTTTCTCACATTTTTCACTAGGTTGTTTGTCTTTTCTTATTGATTTATAAGACTGCTTTTATATTGATGTGTTTCTGATTACATGTTTTGCAAATATTCTCTACCAATTACTGGCTTGTGTTTTCACTTTTATAAAGGAGCATTTTTTTCAACAACCTTAGCCCTTAGCTTTAATGAGGTTAAATTTATTTGTTTGTCTTACGTTTAGTGTTTTTGCTGTTTTTGCTATTGTTACTGTTTAAATAGTAGCTACTCCTATGCTTATTAAAAATCAGGGAATTCAAAAGACAATCAAAAGAGATGTTATTTAACATTAATTCAGTTGATGCAAATTAAGAATTTTTATAATAAGTGTTGAATCAGATATGGACTATGTGTATCTCCTATATATTGATACTGGACATGTTAATTTGTGTAACTCATTTGGAAAATATTTTAACATAATCTTGTAAAGAGTTGTAATTTGTGTACCTTAGGAAATAGAAATTACTTTCCCAGAAAACACCTAAAAGAAACTATTAGCCATGGTTTCTAGGATGTACATACATGAATATCCATAGAAACATTATCTATAATAACAAAAATGAATGTCACCAAAATGCTCATTGTTATAAGGATGAGCAAGTACATAGTAGTTTGACTAACAATAGATTATTATACTACAATGAAAATATGCAATAACATGATTGATTCTTACATAATATTGTGCGCCAAAAAATTTAAAAACTACCCATAGTATAATAACTTTTGCATCAGCTAGGAAAACTTAGAGTCAAACATACATAAACTGTATATTTGTAATAAAGTCATATTATTATAAAATCGGTGTGATATGCAATATAAAATTCCAAAGAATGGTGGTCTGGGTCTAGAATGTTGAAGCTAGAGGCAAAATATTAAGTTAGAGGAGAAGCACATAAACAGATGAAATAATTGAATGCTATTCTATTTCTTTAGTAAGTATCAGGCACTTTTGTATGCACTATATTTTATAACAAATTTATAAATAATATGGGTCATGTTGAGGCCAAATATAACACTGAGTGATGAACCCAAGTAGAATGAAAAAGCAAAACTGATACCCAAAGAGAAACTAATATACATATATTTTAATGAATAGCATAAAATAACATGTAAAATATCTCACTTATTTTGCCCTTCTGGCACCACTCCCTGGAGATATGCCACTATTAACAATCCATCCAGAAATGTTTAATATATAAACATATATGTCATCAAATAGCATGCCATATCATATTATATTTCAGCATTCCAGAGAATATTTGAATAACTTAAAGATGAAAACCTTGCAACTTAGAGTGTATCCATTCCCTTTAAATCTCTATCTCTCTATCACCATCTCAATCTCAATCTGTACATGAGAGAGAGATAAAGAGAGAGAGAGAGAGAAGCAGAATGTGGGAACTGGGGGAGAGGAAGAGAGGGCTGGGGGGAGAGAGAAAGGGAGTGAGAATGAATGTGGAGAACATTTTATATACTCAAAAGATTTACATTTGCCTCACCTCACTACTGTGTTCTTCAGGAAACCCAGTCTATTGAAACATTCTGGTCACTGTCCCAGAAATTCCAAGCAGCTATACACTTCATGAGAGAAAACTTAGAGAAACCACGTGAATATATTCTAATATTTCTGTATATGTTTATGGAAAATGTGATTCCAGTATATTTAAAAATTGTGTTTATATGTTTATATAGGTATTGATAAATACAATTACAGATATAGGTAAAGATATATATATATATATATATATATATATATATATATATATATGCATAATAGAGAGTTAGATGAAAGGATACACTCCAAAATGTTAACTGTAATAACATCTAAGTATATAATAGGATTGTGAAAAATTTATCTTTTCTATCATGCTCTATATCTTTAATATTGTCTCTAATTAGTGTGCATTAAGTTTATAATAACAATAGATATCATTATTACTTTAAAAATTCTTTCTTATGAGCAATCAAATATATTAAAGAGTACTGTGTTTTATGTATCAAATTAGCAAACATTAATACCCCCAGCTGTAAAAGACACTGAAAAATCCAATATTCATTTATTGCTAATGGCTGCATTAACTGGCCCAATTAAAAGGGAAGAAAATCAAAAATTCATATCCTTTGGTCCTGCGTATCAATTTTCGGCAGGCAATCCCCCTGCCTCCAAATAATAAAATATAGAATAATCAAAAGGAAAGAAAAAATAATCTGCATATACAAACTTTTCATTATGAGTCATAAACTGCAAGATATATTATGTTTGTATTACAAAGCAAATATTTAGTATAAGATACCTATGTAATAGATTGTATAATCATTAAAAAAGGTAATGAAGCCATTAATAGTTTAAAAAGCTTTTAAGTGCTAAGAGCAGAATGCATCTTTGAAGTTACATGATTGCTTATGTAAAAATGTGTAAGGAGGATACAATCAGATTGGGCACAATCCTTATGGTCAAGGGTTTAAAATCTAATTTGGTTGGCAATAAATGAAATACAGAAGTTTCTCAAATTTACATTTTGTTTTTTTGTATGCCAGATTGGAAAACAAGACTTTTGACATTTACGTCATGACTGAATATAAACACAATTTTCTGGCTTTTTGAAACCAAATGAAAGTCCTTCAAAAATTAATTCATGCAAATTGAAATAATAACAAAATTTTAGTTACATAGCTGAATCAATTCTGTCCCTCCAGATTAAATAAATAAGTAAAATAAAATAAAATAAATAAGGGGAGAAATAATGCTAAGTTCAGTAATTTGTTCTTCAAGGAAATAACACAGCTCAAATATAAAGACATACTTACTATTTATTATTGCCTGTCTTTGGGCAAGTTATACAACTGTCCCATCCTCAGTTTTGCCATTGTGTGCATTTACATTTGTGTATGTGTGTATGTGTGCATGTATATGTGTGTATGTATGTGTGTGTGAGAGAGAGAGAGAGAGAGAGAGACGGTCTTAGGGGAGAGACAGATTAAATTAGATTACCCATATAAAGTTCTGGTGTTGGCACAGAATAAGTGCTAAAAAAAATTGATGTCATATCCATTTGTCAGCAATGTAAAAACGACTTCTGGAAAAGGTGTTTTAAAAATATATGAGCTAGAATTTGAACATAAATAGATTATTAACCTAAATAACAAAATTAATCATGAATGAGAATTTTTTCATTTTCCAAAGTTATAATATACTTAAAGTCACTGATTTGCCTCCCATGTCGGTATGACAAGCTTTTGCATTGTAAATGTGTCCAGCGTTAGTCTTTAAAGGAAGAATAAAAAGTCCAAAAACAAAAAACATATGAAGACCCACACCATATTTTTCTTCTCTGAATCTTGTTTTCCTTTATTCAATTTGCATGTCGGTTTATTTGGCTAGAACTTCTCAAAACAACACACTGTTTGCTTTTTTCTTCAAAGCGATGTTTCTTCCTTCATTCCAAATTAAAGCAATCTAAATATTAAAATGAAAATCCTGTTACATAAATTCAAAAAATCCATTCTATACTTACTGAAAAAATATCACAAAACTCTGCAGGATGTATTTTAAAAAAAAAGCCTGAACTTTTGGAGTCAAATTTTAAAATATAACTTCACAAAGGCATTTTAACAATTTTCAATATGATAAGGACTCCTCTCAAAAAATGGTATACACTAAATTTTCATAATTATTTTAAGTTTATTTTCCAATTAGAAAACTGATAATTCCATTATCTGATTTATCAGCAATCTTTTAGTCTTTTGTTTATGCATCCAATAAATTTGGAGGAATTGTGGGTTGGTTGATTATAATCACTGGTAATACATCGGTATCAATAAAATAGAATCCGTACTACGTCACATTTGTATCAGTTTTTTATTGCTGCTTTACCAAATTACCAGACATTTAGTGGTTTACACTAGACACAATTTAAAATACAAAAATTTTAAAATTTAAAAACATAAAGCTCTTGTGGTTCTGGAGATCAGAAGTCTAAACTCAAGACTTCTGAATTCTTCCAAAATTTTCTTCCAGAATTTTCATAGGATAATCCATTTCCTTACCTTTTTCAGCTTCTGGAGATTGCCTTCATTCCTTGGTTCAGGGCCCCTTACTTGAGTTAGTGACAGAATGGAGGCTCTTGCTTCTTTCATCACATCTCATCACATCTTTGGCTTCTGACACTTATCTTTTCCTCTCTATTTTATAAAGACACCTGTAATTACATTGGGCCCACTTAGATAATTAAGAATAATCCCTCCTTTATCAAGATCCTTTACTTAATCACATATGTGAAGTCATTTTTATCATATAAAGCCATATATTCACAGGTTTTTGGTGGGGATTTGGATGTAGACATCTTTGGGCAGCCATTATTTGGTCAACCACAGAAATTATTATCAAGGATTACTTTTGAAAACCTGCAAAATTCCATTTCCTGAAGTATTTGAGCTTTAACAAAGTGGAAAATAAAAAGCAGGTGATTATAATGTAGTATCTTATGACTGGTAGAATGTTGAGAAATAGAAATTCTGTGGTTACACAGATATAGATTGAATTTGAGTTTTAACATTTTCTAATTGTGGGAAGTTAGGAAATTTCCTTCACCTCTTTCTAAGCCTTAGTTTCCTCATGTGTAAAATAGGGATAATAAGAGTACCTACTTTGGAGGCCTGCACAAAGGAACTCATGCATAGGAGGGTAAACAAAATTTCTGATAAGTACTAAAAGTTCAATAAAGTTTTCTTATAGCCTTCATTAATATAATTATTACATTGGGGAAATATAGTCCAATATAAATGGACAGAACATGGATATATCAAAGATTGTGTCATGAAATAATACTTTATGGAAACAGTAAATCTGAAATGGATAATTAGACACCCAGTTTTCCTCCATATATATCCACATAAAGAATTTGAATATCATCTTGGAAGGAAAAACAGATTCTTGAGGAAATAGAACGGAGGCGGAAGAAATGAGAGAAGGAAAAAAGGAAAAGAAGAGAATAGAAAACAAGAGAAAAGTAAAAGAAAGAGAAGAGATGTACCTTAGATGCTTGGCAGTTGCTCTATAAGGCAGACTGAATTATTGTCCCTATTATTTTCCCTATAAGTCTATCTGCATTGTCGTAAAGGAATAGCTGAAATTGGCAATTTATAAAGCAAACAGGTTTATTTGGCTCATGTTTCCTCAGTGTGTACATGAAGCACAGTGCCACTGTGCCACAGTGTGTACATGAAGCAAAGTGCCACCACTGCTTCTAGTGCTCCCTCAGCAAGTTTACAATCATGGTGACAAGCAAAGGGCAGCCTCTTTCTGTCACATGTCAAGAGAGGGAGCAAAAGAGAAAGGGAGGAGTTTCCAGCCTTTTTTAAACAACCAGATCTCATGCGAACTCACAGAGTGAGAATTCTTTCATTATCACGAGGACAGTATCAAGACGTTCATGAGGGTCCTGCCCCCATGACCTAAACACCTCCCACTAGGCCCACCGTTTACGTTGGAGGTCACATTTCAACATGAGATTTGGAGGGGACTAAACGTTTGAACTGTATCAATGGTCCTTTTTTTGTTTTGTTTTGTTTTGTTTTGTTTTTCTTTTCTTCTTCATTTTTTTAGCCATTTCTGTATCCATCTGTGTCCATGTTCTTTTTCATGTTACTGCTGCCCCTCCTCAAGAGGCTGAGTATACTACCCTGTCCCTATGGTGTGAGCTCAGTGAGGTGAGTTGCTTCACCCAGTGGAAGCTGGTAGTGAAACATTCCATGCCATTGCCTTAATAAACAACATGTATATATATGTTGTTTATCAAGACAATATATGTATATATATGTTTATTAAGGCAATATATATATGTTGTTTATTAAGGCCAAGACATAGAAAAAATATATATATAGTACATATATACATAAATATTATATATATATATATATATATTTTTTTTTTTTAGTTGCCCACTTTTGCCTCTGTCATTGCCCTGAGAAGAACATGCCCCAGATAGGCTGTTGATCCAAGAAGGATGGGAAACACATGCAGTATTCACAGAAACAGTCTGCAGCTTACAGCCATTTAGCTGAGCCCACTCTAAGCTGAATAGATGCCTATTATGTATCCCACTGAGCTATGTTGGTTGATTGCTACCCAGCAAAGCAACTAAAGATGCTCTCCTTATATTCACAGTAAACCACTTACCTCTTATTTGCCTGAAGCCCATACGAGTATGTTTTGGTCAGGAGAATTACAGCATACTGCCTATTTCTATTCTGTTTTATTAAGGAATCAATTCTGCCCACTTTCCTCTGTGATGCACTTTAATTAATAAGTTTATAAGTATTGTAAAACAGAGCTATCACAGAATGAAAGAATTGCAATGATTAAAGTTGACTCTACTCTTTATTAACATTACAAAACTGGTAGATACTAATTACATGTCATAAACAAGTAGTTAAAGGGAACATTGCTTTTCAGCAGAGAAGAATGAGAAATTTAAGCCTCAAAACTAAAATAGAACACATTTAGCCCTCTACTAAACAGAACATGCCCTTAATCATGATAATTTCCAGTGAACACTTTTAGGATGGGTGAGTACAGCTTTAGGACAATAAACAGTGGCTAACTAGGCACCTGGTGATTCACACTGATTCACAGACTTAAATTGATATGTGCAGGTTAAAATTAAGTTGTCCCACCTTGACTAGCTCAAGCCATCTTGAGCAAAAAGAAAAAAACCTGGCTAGCATCACACAATTTGATTTCAAAATCCACTACAAAGCAATAGTAATGGAAACAGCATGGTACTGGCATAGATAACAAACACATAAACCAATAGAACAGAATACGGAGCCCCCATATAAATCCACAATCAACTGATCTTCATCAAAGTTGCCAAGAACACACAAAGAGAAAAGGACAGTCTCTTCAATAAATGGTGTTGAAAAAACATGTGGAGAAGAATGAAATTAGACCCTTATCTCACTCTATACACATGAAAAAAAACTTACTTAAAAGGGTTAAAGACTTAAATATAAGACCTTAAACTATAAAAATACTAAAAGAAAACACAGGGGAAAACACAATGATATCACTTTAGGCAATAATTTTCTGACTATATCCCCCAAAACACAGACAACAGAAGCAAAAAATAGACAAATGGGATTGTATCCAATGACCAAGCTCTGCATAGCAAAAGAATCAGAGTAAAGAGGCAAGCTATAGAATGAGAGAAAATATTTGCAAACCATATATCTGAAAATGGGTTAATATCATAAATATACAAGGAATTTAACTAAATAGCATGAAAACAAATAACTTGATTTAAAAATGGGCAAAGAAACTTAATAGATTTTTTTAAAGAAGACATACACATGGTCAACAGATATATTTTTGAAAGTTCAATGTCATTAATCATCAGAGAAACACAAATAAAAACCACAATGAGATATCACCTCACACCTGTTATAGTGGCTATTATTTAAAGGGGTGAATGTCTGGACATGGTGGCCCAGGCCTGTAATCCCAGCTACTCCAGAGGCTGAAGCAGGAGAATAGCTTGAACCTGGGAGGCAGAGGTTGCAGTAAGCCGAGATCACACCACTGCACAGCACTGCACTTCAGCCTGGATGACAGAGTTAGACCCTGTCTAAAAAAAGAAAAGAAAGACAAAAAAAGAATGAAAGATAACAAGAGTTGGCGAGGATATGGAGAAAAGGAAACTCATTGTTGGTGACAGTATAAATTACTACAGCCATTATGTAAAACAGTATAAAGTTTCTTAAAAAATTAGTGATAGAATTATCCTATGATCCAGCTATTCCGCTTCTGGGTATTACCAAAATACCCAGAAATGTTGGTCAAAGGATACAAAAGATTTGACATTAGTGTGTTGAAAAGATATCTGCACTCCTATGTTCACTGAAGCATTATTTTCACTAGCCAAGCTATGGACTCAACTTCATTGCTCATCAGTGAATGAATGAAAAAAGAAAATGTGGTACGTGCAAAATGAACTACTTAGTCAGATACAACAACAACAATAACAACAAAGCTGTCATTTCTGACAACATGGATGTACCTGGAGGATATTATGCTGAGTAAAATAAACCACACATAGAAAGACAAATACTGCCTGATCTCACTTATATAGGAAATCTAAAGTAGTCAAATTCATAAAAAAAGAGGGTAGAATAGTGGTTACCTAGGGGCCAGGACCATTGGGAGGTCCTGGAATAGAGGCAGCTTGGAAAAAAATGTTGGTCAAAGGATACAAGCTTTCAGTTAAAGAGAAAGAATAAATTCAACAGCTTAATTGTATAATTAATTAGTGAATATAATTAATAATGGTGTATTATATACTTGAAAATTGCTGAGTGTAGGTTTTAAGTGTTCTCACCACAAAAAAAGATAATCATTTGAGGCAATGCATATGTTAATTGCTTGATTTAGCCATTCTGCAATGTATACACGTATCAAGGCACCATGTTATACACCCTATATATTTACAATTTTTGTCAATTTAAAAATATTTTTACATAGTCAATGAAAGATATTTTATAATACGTTGCTATATAAAAGGCAGGGATCTAGAAGTCTTCAGTAGTTGTCTAAAGATTTAGAAAGATAGAAGTTGATCCAAATTTGCAATACACATTTCAGTAGCTCAAAGGGAAAAGAGAAACAATAATATTGAACTACAGCATAGTGTTATTGTTTCCTGTCTTAAAATATAGTCTTCTCTAATTCTAAGGTTTGCTTTAGATATTGCAGCTATATGGTACTTCAGAATGATTGAGAATTAATTGAGGATGAGTATGACTCTTAGAGGAGGAAAAGCAGGAGTTAGAATGAAACAAGTTTTTAAATATTTTTCTCTGTGTGTCAGCTACATTAACGGGCATTAAATAATGGTGTTGATGATGGGTGATAATTAACAGGAAGATGAGGATGATACTGATGATGATTATAATAGTAATAATAGGCATTGCTTATGGTGTTCTTATTTGTACCAGATACT
The DNA here is from genome assembly GCF_000001405.40 of Homo sapiens. Taxonomy (NCBI): domain Eukaryota; kingdom Metazoa; phylum Chordata; class Mammalia; order Primates; family Hominidae; genus Homo; species Homo sapiens. Next base: position 37,679,322 of record NC_000011.10, read on the forward strand.
GTGCTAGAAACTATAGATGGACTTTATTCCAATATAATAATCTCACATCAAGGAGGATCTACATTAATATAGAGAGGTACCAACATTTACTAAATGCATTCTATGTTCTAAGGATTGTTCTAGGTACATTAAATGCTTTACCTCTTTTAATTCTGGCAATAATTTTGAGAGCTACCTACTAATGCTCCGTGTGTATATATATGTGTAGGTAAACATAAAATGTTTTATATATATGTATCTGTGTATACATATATATGTTTATGTATATGTGTATATATAGTTATGTATGTATATGTGTATATATATTATAGTTTTATATATATATATATATGCACACAACTGGGTTTCACATTGAATAAAAAAATAGTACATGTGATTGAAAAGCTTGGCTTTTTACTGAGAAAGGTTGGTAAAAAAATTAATAAAAAATGTTCACAATCAGAGTTGTCCAGAAGCAATCTGTTTTCACTCTCCCCAACAGAAAACTAAAAACAACTATTAGGTGACAAGACTGTTACCACCAATATCCCAGAACTCAAAGCTGAGGCTATGACAAAACATGGGCAACAGAGAAATGAAAAACTGTGAGGAGGAGGAAGGAGAAGTGATTTATCTATCCTCAATACCCTTTTCCCAAACTTTCAGGTGCAATGCCCCTCCTCCAAACTTTTAGTGGAAAATTCCCTGAGCTCACAGTTTCTACACTAGAAAAAGTGAGATTGAGGCAGCCAGCCCCCATTATCTTTGGTTTCTATGCAGGAAAGCTGCTCCTGTCTCAACCCACAGACAGCGTTGCAAGTGCCTGTAAGGAGAGGGATTCCTGAGGGCAGCTGGAGACAGATAGTGAAGGTAGAGCTAAAAGCCTCAGCACACAAAACTCTAGGGCTAATTTCCCTCTTAGACAAAAATTACCAAATCAGAGAGATGGTTCAGCAGCACCATGCTGTAAGAAGTGTATTCCACAAGCCCTTTGGGCATTGTGGCCAGCCTCCCCACAAAAACTGGGAATCCCACTTGGAACCCTTCCATCAGGGCAGCACTTTGATATAGTGTGAGAGCAACAGCAAACCTGGACTTAGGTCACCATCTAGTACAACAAAAGAGGCAGCAATTGAGGACTAAGGAAATCACCAGGAAAACTGCACAGAACTTCTAAACACATATGCACTAGAGAAAACAAGCCAACCCAGAGAACAATGACTGGAATAAATAATCCTTCAATGTGAAGACATAGATAAATATTCAGAACAGCAATATTAAGGAAACTCATCAATGCCAAGATTACACAAAAAAAGATTCAGAAATTTGTCAGAAAAAATTAACAGATATTAAAATATTAATAAAAATTTAAAAATAAACAGAAAAAATTTAACTAAGAAATACATTGAGCTGAAAAGTAAATCAGAGATCCTCAATAGCAGACTTGATCAAACAGAAGAAAGATTTGGTGAGCTCTAATGATAGGGACAGGAGGCAGGGAAACTCTGGGCAGAAGAAGGCAGGTCCCCAGGGGAGGACCCTACCCTTAAACCGAAAAGCCTAATATCAAGGCCTACATGAGATCATACATCACTGTTTTCCCACTTGAATGCTGCCTTTTCCAAAACCACACATGGCCCACTGTGGCCCCCATCCTGCGCTCATAAAAACTGTAGAACTCAGCCGGCAGAGAGAAGAAGCAGCTGGACGTTGGAAACCACGGTTGGACGTCAGAGAGAAGCAGTTTGACATCAGAGGGACAGCTTGATGGTGTAGCTTCAGAGAAGAGTCCGGCTAGTTTCCATTTGCATGAAATAACTTTTTTCGTCTTCTCACTTTTAGTCTATATTTGTCTTTTTAGGTGAAGTGAGTTTCTTAGAGGCAGCATATTGTTGTGTATTTTTAAAAATATTCAGCCACTCTATGTCTTTCAATGGAATAATTTTGTCCATTTGAATGTAAATTCAATGTTCTCATTCATAGCTAAGACTTACAACTGTAGTTTTGTTACTTTTTTCTAGTTGTTTTGTGAATTCTCTCCTCTTTTCTTCCTTTCTTTTTCTCTTCCTTTGTGGTTAAGTGATTTTCTTTGGTAGTATGTTTTCATTTGTTGCTTTTTATTTTTAGTGTATCTATTATAGCTTTTTGCTATGTGGTTGACTTGAGTTTTACAAAAAACATCTCACAGTTATAAGAATTTACTTTGAATAGATTACAACTAAACTTTGATCACAAAGAAAAAAAGAAGCAAACAAATAACAAACTAAAAAATTCCACACTTTTTCTCCCAGACACATTTTGACTTTTTGTTGTCTCAATTTACATTGTTTATATTGCCTATCTCTTAGCAAATTGGTATAGTTATTATTTTTATATATTTTCTTTATTGTATTTATACTAGAATTATGAGTCGTTTATATACCACAATTACAGTATTAGAGTACCCTGAATTTTTCTGTGTACTTATTTCAACTAGTGAGTTTTTTTATCTTCAAGTGAATTTTTTTGCAGCATGCTAACATCATTTTCATTCACATTGAAGCACTCCCTTTAGCATTTCTTATAAAACAAGTCTGGTGGTGAGGAATTCCCTCAGATTTTTGTTTGTTTGTTTGTGTTTTCTGGAAATGTCTTCATCTCTCCTTCATGTTTGGAAGATAGCTTTTCTGTGTACTCTGTTATGTGTTGGCAGCTTTTTTTCTTTCAGCACTTAGAATGTCATCCCAATTTCTCCTGGCCTGTGTGGTTTCTGCTGAGAATTCAGTTGCCAGATGTATCAGAGCTCCTTTATGTGTCATTTACTTCTTGACTCTTGCTGTCTGAGGATCCTCTCTTTGCCTTTGACCTTTGAGAGTTTGAACATTATATGCCTTGGGGTAGTCTTATTTATGTTGAATCTGTTTGATGATCTTTGATCTTTCTATACCTCTACATTTATATCTTTCTCTAGGTTTGGAATGTTTTCTGTTACTTCTTTGAATAAGCTTTTTACCTCTTACTCTTTCTCAACTTTTTCTTGAAGGCCTATAACTCATATTTGCTCTGTTGAGGTTATTTGCTAGATTTTACAATGTTCTTCATTTTTTTTTCTTTCTTCATCTTATTGTTTTCAAACAACCTATCTTAGTGAAGCAGGATATTTCCCTGACCCCTTCATGGGCAGGAACTAGAGTGCACGGGTGTTGGCAGGAGGAAACTTCCCCAACTCGCTGCTCCACCCCTGGTGGGAGGGGGAGCACAGGTTAGCAGGTACAGGAGCTGGGGCGAGCACTTTTGGGTGCCCACAAGAGCAAGCTCTGTACTGAAACTGTAGCAGTGTTTGGGGGAGTGTGCCCATGACCCCTGAAGCCCCAGAGTAAGTGTTACAGTGCCCTTTTAGCTTTGTTGTCCATGGGCGGCTTAAGTGTTAATAGCTCAGTGGAGGGTCAGTGTGACAACTTTTTGCACCCATTCTTGTGGCACCCAAGTTCTTGTCTAGAGTCCAGGAGGAATGAGGTCACATGAATGACTTGAAGATGGTAAATATACAGGATTTTATTGCCGGTGAAAGTGACTCTCAGTGGGAAGGGGAACTGAAAAGGGGATGGAGGGGGAAGGTAATCTTCCCCTGGAAGATGTAAAGAGCAGCAGTAGCTATACTTATATCAAATAAAATATAATTCAAGTCAAAAACTGTAAAAAGAAGCAAAGAAGTTTATGATGTAATTATAAAGGAATCAATTTGATAAGAGGATATAACAACTGTCAATTTATGCACCCAACACCAGAACACCAAATATAGAAAGCAAATATTACTAAATCTAGAGAGAGAGACTGCAATACAATAAAAGTCAGGAACTTCAATGCCCCATTTTCAGTAAAAGACAGATCATCAAGAAGGAAATTAACAAAGAAATATTGGAGGTAAACGACACTTTAGACAAAATAGACCCAACTGACATTTACAGAACATTTCATTCAAGTGCTAAATACACATTCCTCTCATTAGTACAGGAAACATTCTCCATGATAGATTATGTTAGACCACAAAACAGGTCAAAAAGTTCAAAAAATGTCAAAATCATATAAAATATCTTTTCTGACCACCACAGAATAAAACTAAAAATCAATAACAATAAAAACTTTGGAAACTGTACAAAGACATAGATTAAACAACATGCTCCAGAATGAATAGTGGGTCATGAAGACATTTAAAATAAAATTTAAAAAATTTTTGAAAAAATGAAAATGGAAATACAGCACACTAAAATCTATGGGATTCAGCAAGAACAGTAATAGGAGGAAAGTTTATAGCAATAAATGCTCACATCAAAAAGTAGAAAGACGTAAACAACCTAATGATGCACCTCAAGGAACTAGAAAAACAAGAACAAATCATTCACAAAGTTTCTAGAAGAAAGGAAATAATAAATTTTAAAGCATAAATAAATAAATTTGAGACTAAAAATGATATAAAACATCATTAAAACAAAGGGTTAGTTTTTTAAAAAGACAAAGAAAATCATCAAATCTCTAAGTAGAGTAACTAAAAGAAAAAAGGAGAAAAAAAAACCCAAATAAATAAAATCAGAAATAAGAAGGGAGAAAATTAAAGTGATACCACACAAAATATCATTAGATACTATTATGAGCAGCTATATTCCAAGAAATTAAAAAACTTGGGATAAATGAATGAATTATTTGACACGAAAAACTTACCAAAATGGAACCTTGGAAAAATAGAAACCCTGAATAGGTCAATAACAAGTAAAGAGACCAAAGCAGTTATTAAAAGTCAAGCATCAAAGAAAAGTCAAGGACTGTTGTCAAAGATGGCTTCACTGCTAAATTTTAGCAAACATTTAAAGAACTAACACCTATCCTATTCAAACTATTCCAAAAAAACTGAAGAAAATGGAATATTGATAAATTCATTCTATGAGGCCAGCATTACCTTGATACCAAAACCGGATAAAGATATGAATTAAAAACAAAACAAAACAAAAAACTACAAGCCAATATCCCTAATGAGTATAGATTTAAAAATCCTCAACAAAAGTAAACAGAATTGAAAAACACATTAACAAGACCATTCACTATGATCAAGTAGGATTCATCTCAGGTATGCAAGCATGGTTCAACATATGCAAATCAATAAACATGATACATCATATTAATAAAATCAAGACAAAACTATATGACCATTTCAAGAGATGATGAAAAAGCATTTGAAAAAATTCAACATCCCTTCATAAGAACAACTTTGGGTATAGAAGAAATATATCTCAAAACAATAAAAGGTATATAACATACCTACAGAATATAAAATGGGAATAAATTGAAAGCATTTCCTTTAAAACTTGAAAAAAGGCAAGGATGCCAATTTTTGCCACTTTAATTCAACATAGTAAGTACTGGAAGCCCTGACCAATGCAATTAAGAAACAAAAAGAAATGAAAGGCATCCAAATGGGAAAGAAAATGATAAACTTATCTTTGTTCACAGACAACATAATATTATATTTATAAAAAATCTACATACACCACTAAAAACTGTTAGAACTCATAAATGAATTTTGTAAACTTGTAAAATAAAAAATCAATGCACAAAATCAGTAGCATTTATGCATTTATATATTCCAACAGTGAGTAATTGGGAAAAAATATCAATAAAGCAACCACATTTACTGTATCTACAAAATAATTTCATAAGAATAAATTTTAAAAAAAGAAGTGAAAGAACTCTAGAAAGGATATTGTAAAATGCTGAAAAATGATGATTAAAGAGATTGAAGGGGATACACACAAAAAATTGAAAGATATTCCATGGTTAAGGATTGAAAGTATTAATATTGCTGTAATGTCCATACTATACTTAAAATGATCATAGATTCAGTGCAATTCCTATCAAAACACCAATGAAATTCTTCACAGATATAGAAAAAAGAATCCTAAAATTTGTGTGAAACCATGTAAGACCCTAAATATCCAAATAAATCCTGAACGAAAAGAACAACGCTTGAAGCATTACACTAGCTGAGCTCAAAATGTACTACAAAGTCATAGTATCCAAAACAGTATGATACTAGCATAAAAGCAGACACATGCACAAATAAAACAGAAGAGAGAACCCAGAAATAAATCTGCATATTTACAGCCAACTGATTTATGACAAAAGTACCAAGAATATTCAGTGGGGGAAGGAAAGTCTCTTCAATAAATGATGCTGGCAAAATTTCACAGCCATATGCAGCAGAATAAATCTGGACCCCTATTTCTTATCATATACAAAAATAAAATCAAATCAGTTAAACACTTAAATATAAGACGTGAATCTATGAAGCTACTAGAAGAAAATACTGGAGAAACCATTCAGGACATTGGTCTGTGCAAAGATTTTATTTTGGGAAAACCTCAAAACATAGGTGACCAAAACAAAAACAGAAAAATGGAATTGGATCAAACTAAAAAGCTTCTGCAGAGCAAAGGAAATAATCAACAGAGTGACGAGACAATCTATAGAAGCAGAGACAATATTTTCAAACTACATATCAGACAAGGGATTAATAACCAAAATGTATAAAGAACGGTATATACCCAAAGGCTTATAAATCATTCTATTACAAAGACACATGGACACATATGTTTACTGCAGCACTATTAATAATAGCAAAGACTTGGAATCAACCCAAATGCCCATCAATGATAGACTTGATAAAGAAAATGTGATACATATATACTATGGAATAGTACGCAGTCATAAAAGAAGGACGAGTCATTTCCTTTGCAGGGACATCAATCATTATGCATAAGCAAAAAAATTCTACAACTATTAGGACCTTAGATTATTTAAATAAATAAATATATATATATGATGAAGATATATATATATTATATATATGATGAAGATATTTGTATTATATATATGATGTCCGTAATACTCAGAATAACTATCTGTGTAAAGTAATTGAGATACAACATTCTGGAAAGAAGATCAGATTGATATCAGAGACAGAAAGTTAATATTACCAATGACACAATAAATAAGTGGGTCTTTACATGTGATATATTAAAGGTTTTATTACGGTAAGTAGTAGGTAGAAATTGATAAATATAATGTGAAGGGGTATTTTTTGTTTGTTTGAAAATCTGGAACACTGGCAACACATATTTACCAGACAGATAAGTAGGTAAAAAGCCTGGACACTGGAGAAATGCTGACTCAAGGCTCCATTATCTTTGGTATGATGACCTTAATATTTTGTAAACTGAAATGGGAACAACTGTGTCATGATGTGCACGGTAGTCTCTTATGAACAACTACGGGATGAAAGACCTGGAAGAGATGTGAAGGAAGTGAAAGACATTTTGATTATGCATCAATATATGTGAATGCATTTACTTATAAACAGTTAAACTTTTTGTACACTAAGATTACGTATGAAGAGACAAAATAGTGCAAACATTTAGAGTGTTATCTCTGGGTCCAGTGTATGGAGGTTTGAAGCTTGGGTTCTCTACTATACCTTGGAAAAGTTAAATAAACTCTGTGGCTTGGTTTTCTTACTTTTAAAATGGAGATTAAAAATATGTCTCACCTGCACACTTAATATGAGCATAAATTAACTATATAGGTAAAGCACCTGGAATAATATGTATTGCCTAGTGAACACCTAACACCTAACAAATGCTAGCTATTATTATTTTAATTATCATTTCTGTTATGAATCACTCAAAATGAAAGTTAAAAATGTAACATAAAATGTATACACTAAAATTCTATGATATATTTTCTTCTTGTAACCCAGTTTATCACGTTAAGAACCCCTTGGATATATGCACCTATGTTGAATAGCTGCTATTCTATGGCATGTAGTCAGAACATCCAGGTGCTTGTAAGGATTTAGTAAGGGTAGGGCCTTGTACCAAAGCTTCATGGTCAACACTCTAGTTAGAAAGAAACTTTATGCTTTACTAAGTTATCTCAGCCTTGCAGAGGCTAGGTAGTTTAAACAATAATTACCAGAACTATGTGATATTATCCTGGAAGCACTAGGCAAATGAACCAGAATAAATAAGGGATGAAAGAACTATTGACAAAAATGAAACAAAATTATCATTATTTACTGATGTTAAGTCAATATGTTTGGATATCTGACTCAGCTGAAAGGCTGAGAGAAAACAAAAATCTTCTGAAGATTACTGATAGAGCAGAATATAATACAAGTATCTGAAATTTTACTTTATAACAGCAACAAGTTAGAAAACAAAATGCACAAAAAGAGCTCAATTCACAAAAACAACAAATACTTAATTTTAAGAAATTCATATTTCTGCCGGGCGCGGTGGCTCATGCCTGTAATCCCAGCACTTTGGGAGGCCGAGGCGGGTGGATCACGAGGTCAGGAGATCAAGACCATCCTGACTAACACGGTGAAACCCTGTCTCTACTAAAAATACAAAATATTAGCCGGGCATGGTGCGGGCGCCTGTAGTCCCAGCTACTCGGGAGGCTGAGGCAGGAGAATGGCGTGAACCCGGGAGGCAGAGCTTGCAGTGAGCCGAGATTGCGCCACTGCACTCCAGCCTGGGAGAGAGAGTGAGACTCCGTCTCAAAAAAAAAAAAAAAAAAAAAGAAAGAAAGAAAAAAGAAATTCATATTTCCTATATAAAGAAAATATTAAAATTCTATTAGAGGTAGGAGAATTCCAAATAAATGTAGATATATGCTCATTCTTAGAAAATTCAGTTATATAAAGATACCAATATTCCCCAAACTGTTGTTTAATTGTATTTTAATCCTATTTGAAAATCTAATAGTTAAAACACTTTGAACCTGATAAAAATATATGAGTGGTACTTGTACAGTTAAGTATAACAAATAGTAGGAAATTTGAGAGAAACAAAAGTAGCAGGAGAGTCTTTCCTCTACCAGAGTATAAACATTTTACGAAGGTACAGCAATTTAGACAATGTTGTAATTATGCATGAAGAGACAGCTTAAAGAAGTAGAATAGATAGTTCAGAGATATACCCAGCATGTATAGCAATTTAGTATTATAGAGAAAGAAGTGATTTTTGGTCAGCGTAGGATAAGATCAAATATATTTATTTCTTTCCAATGTAAAAGTTAAAGAAGTATTTTTTGTTCAGTAGAGGGTTTTGTTCCATGCTCTGTCATATTGCGATATTCTTGTATTTTTGGTCACTGATCCTCAAAGTGTAATATCAGACTAGCAGCACCAGCAGCACCAGGGGACTTGCTAGACATGCAAATATTGGCCCCCATCTCAGATTTACTGAATCAGAAACTGTAGTGTTGAGGGCCAGCATTCTGTTTGTTTTAACATGCTCTCCCAGTTGATTCTGATGTGCGATAAAGTTTGACAGTCACTAGCCTAGGGGATGGTTACCAACTTCATTTGGCCATGAAAGAGCATAGATATTGTACCATCTGGGAGTCATGGTTATTGTAATGGATTGAATAGTCTTCTTTAAAAAGTCACCACCTGGAACAACCTCAGAATGTAACCTTGTTTGAAAGGGAATTTTTCAGAAGCAGTTTGTTAAATATCTGTAAATGAAATTACCCTAGATTTAAGGTGGGTCCTAAATCCTATGACTAGCTTCCTTATAAGAAGAGGAGAGAACAAAAGAGACATATGGAGAATAATGTCATGTAAAGAGGGAGGCAGAGATTGGAGTTATGCATCTATAAGCCAAGGAACTCCAAGAATTGCTAGGAGCCACCACAAACTAGGAAAAAGCAAGAAAATATTATTCTCTGAAGCCTTCAGAGGAAGCATGGTGCTGCCATTGCTTTGATTCTATCCTCCATCTCGGTGAAAGAAGAAATTTCTGTTGTTATAAGCCACCAAGTTTGAGGTAACTTGTTATAGCAGCCTTTGTAAACTAATACTGTGATTAAGCACTCTCATAATGCATTATGTATTATATAATATTAGGTAATGGCATACATTACTTTGGCTTAAATACCATTTGCAAGTACTCAGTCACATGGTTTCTCCTAACCGCAAGGGGAAACTAAGAAGTACAGTCTGGCTATGTCCCCAGAATGAGGAGAAGAACATAATTTTTGCAGGACATTTACCAATCTCTAACAAAAATACTTCAAGTTATTGAAAAAGCAATGTGAATCAATAAATAATGTTGAAAGAACTGATTTGCTATTTAAAGTAATTACTGTAATGATAACTAGCACTTCAGAAGGGCCTAGAACAATATATGCCTGATTAACAAAAATGGAAAAGACTGAGTAAAACTGGCATTTGTGAGAGTTAGGTAAAAAAGAATGCTTCACCCTATCTTGGCAGAAGTGAAAATATAACACTTCAGGTGAAAAGGCTGGCAATATACACCAAAATGCACAATATTATATTAATTCTCTGAGAAATTCAAATAATTTTTAAGTGTAAGGAAATTAAATATAGATATGCTCTTTAATTAGGAGAGATAATTAATCAAATTATGACATATAAATTTAATTCTCTAATATTAACATCATGTTAGGAATATTTATAGAAAAGGAAAAGCTGCTTACAACATACTGGTGTTTGAAAGCAGTAGCATACCTGGCATTATTCTGCCTATGTAAATATTTACTATGTTTTCATATCTTTTTGTTTATATACCTGCCCATTTCTACTTATACACAAAGTGAAGTATTTACAAAAATATTCACCAAAATATTCCAAAGGTTCTTTCTAAGTTGGCTCATGTCAGTCGTTTCTTTTGAATTATTTTTCTGTGTTAGTCAAAGTTTTGCAAGTTTATGCAACACTTGTCCAAAAATAACATCAATCTAGGCTGTTGGTTTACTTGTTTAAATGGCATTTGTGCTATGCCAGAATAACTGCCCACTGGTAGATTATAAATGTGAGTTTTACTGAAGTCTACAGATTCTTTTTGGCCTTGGGCTACGTGGGGAGGCTTGGCTTGGTTGAGGCCACCTATTGAGGCTGCTAACCTGGCCATCTTAGGCTAAATTTTCTTCATCCTAATCTCTCAGAGCACAGACCAAACAAAATGAGGTTTAATGGCAGTCTCTGAGGTATTCTCATGAAAGAAAAAATTAGTATATGCTGCTCAAACATAGTATGCCAAAGACAGCCAAGAAAGAGTTTTTACTTGTTGGAAACTTTTTTTCAGGAGTAAATTGAAGAAAACACCTTGGTAGAAAATAAGTATATGGAGATATTGAAAAAATCTCATTTCAGATACCCCAAAAAGATCAATATCCAACCCAAAGGGATATGGTGAGGAGTTCCTGGTAAGTAAAGTTTAGAGGTTGACCCAAATGGCTGTCATCTGATAAATCAGGTATGTCTATCCATTCTGTGTTTGATGTGTCATCCTAGTGGCATATAAGCCAGGTTCAGGGTGGCTTTCTAATAATATGTACATGTGCTGCAAATTGGAACTTCATTAGTTGGCTTGATATATTTGATGTAAAAATTTCCATGAAATTTGAAATCAATTTACATTATCACAAGAACCTTCCACTTTTTACATGTCATGAAAAAAAAGCAGAGCTGTTAGATCCTTTAAAAATAATTTCTAATGATCTAAATTTTTCAGTGGGTATAAAAAGAATGTTAAATATTTTATCACCTTTCTGTTTGAGCAAAGTTTCTCCTGATGGTCACTTTCAAGAATTAGAAGAGATCATCATTAAAAACCTTCATAAGCAATATCTTGTGAATATTTCCCATATCTTCTGAATATTTCTAACCTTATATAAAAATTTTATGTGAACAAAAACACATTCCAATTTTATTTAAACATTTATCTTTTTAATTTTATAAAATATATAATTTAACATTTTCCTAATACTTTATGATTACATTTTGATGGTAATTAATTGATATAACTTTTTTTGCAAACCCCATATGAAAGCCCCACGCCCCACATATTCTATAATTTTCCCTAGTATCTTTTTTTGTTGTTGTTGTTGTTTTGAGACAGAGTCTGGTTCTGTTGCCTAGGTCGGAGTGCAGTGGCACAATCTCAGCCTACTGCAACCTCTGCCTACCAGGTTCAAGCGATTCTCCTGCCTCAACCTCCTCAGTAGCTGGGATTATAGGCACCTGCCACCACACACAGCTTTTTGTATTTGTAGTAGAGACTGGGTTTCACAATGTTGGTCAGGCTGGACTCAAACTCCTGAACTCAAGTGATCCACCCATCCCAGCCTCCCGAAGTGCTGGGATTATAGGCATGAGCCACTGTGCCCTGACTTCCCCATTATCTTTACAAACATCATTAGCTTCTCTGAGTGCCATTGTGGTAGAAAGACAGCCCCTGAGGTAACCCCGAATTGCCCTAACTCTTGTACTCATGTCCTTATATAATCCCTTTACTTGGGATGTGAGCAGTGCCTGTGAGTTTCTTCTAACCAAAATAATACTGATTTTAAAAAGTCACCTTAGTCTATTACATATTACATTATGTTGCAAAAGTGATGAGATGTCACTCCTGTAATTATTTTATGTTATATAAAACTGCATCTTGCTAGCAAATTTGCTCTAGATGTTCTATTTTTCATCTTAATAAAGTAGTAGCCATGTTGAGGAAACAAGCTTGTTGCACCCAGACTCTGGAAACTGCAAACAGCCTCTGAGAAATGTAGATGTTCTCTAGATAATGTCTAGATGCTGAGGGTGACTTCTAATTGATAACCAGCAAGAAGCAGGACCTCAGTCCTACAAACACAAGAAAATAAATTCTGGGCCGGCATGGTGGCTCACACCTGCAATCCAGCACTTTGAGAGGCTGAGGTGGGTGGATCACCGGAGGTCAGGAGTTCAAGACCAGCCGGCCAACATGGTGAAACCTTGTCTCTACTAAAAATACAAAAATTAGCCAGGCATAGTGGCAGGCGCCTGTAATCCCAGCTACTCAGAAGGCTGAGGCAGGAGAATTGCTTGAACCCAGGAGGCTGAGGTTGCAGTCAGCTGAGATTGTACCATTGCACTCCAGCCTGGGTAACAAGAGCGAAACTCGGTCTAAAAAAAAAGAAAAGAAAAGAGAAGGCAAGGGAAGGGAAGGGGAGAGGAGGGGAGGAGGGGAGGGGAGGACAGGAGGGGAGGGGAGGGGAGAGGAGAGGAGAGGAGAAGAGAAGAGAAGAAAAGAAGAAAAGAAAAAAGAAAAGAAAAGAAAAGAAAAGAAAAAAATTCTAACAGCCTCTTCTTCAGTTGAGACTCAGGATGAGAGTGCAGCCCTATGAGAACTGAGTAGAAGACAGCTAAGCTAACTGTGAGATGATAAATGTATGTTGTTTTAAGATGTTAAGTTTGTGGTCCTTTGTTACATAGCAATAGAGAACTATTTCAATTATGTTGTGAAAATGTTTGAAAATAATTGCTCTAGATAAATCTTAATTGCCTATAGGCAAACCATGTTCATCAATACCAATAAAATCTTCTATGAGTATAGCTAATTTCACTAGGGTTCAGCCCTCATCTACTAATTACATAAAATGTCAGCAGTTAGTAAGACAATGTTCATCCAAGTATTTGTTGGCATCCCTTAGGTTGATATTTTCATAGTTTATGCATCTGTCCTGACTTCTTTTTTCAATGATTTCTGTAACCTGAAGTTCTATCACTCTTTCTGTCACTAAAGCATCCTGTATTCCAAACACATCTGTGTCATATTAGATTATTTTTATTGATCTGAGCAATACCAATACTATAACCACTTGTGTTTCCTACCCCAACACAAAGATCACTGAAGATTGTGGCAAATTTCTCATGCATGTTTTCTACCTTGAGGTGCAATAAACAAGCAATCGCCTAGGCGTCACTTAATTCAGAAGCAAGATGACTCTTTGTTGTTATTTTTAGATAAGGAAATCCCACAATCTAGCTCTCTTGGCTATTAAGTTTTAAGAAAATAATGATATAGGTATTTTGCTTATGTTTATGCTTACATGCTTTTTTTCTTTGTCCACAGGTCACAGGAGGAATGACTGGGATAAAATCAGATTCTAGCTACCATGGTATTAAAAATGCTTCCAAATATGTGAAATGGGGACTAGAGGGGCCCTCCAAAATCCTTTCAAGGTCCACATAATTAAAACTATTTTTATATAATAACACTAAGAAATTGTTTGTTTACCTTTTTATTTCTTCCATGAGTTCACAACAGAGTTTTTCAGAGCCCACATATGTGCTTGTGTATTATGTTTTAAAAATTCCTCAGTTTATATTCACAATAGCAAAGACATGGAATCAACATAAATATCCATCAATGGTAGACTGGATAAAGAAAATCTGATACATATACACCATGGAATACTATGCAGCCATCAAAAAAGTGAGATCCTGTCCTTTGAAGGAACACAGATGGAGCTGGTGGCCATTATCCTTAGTGAACTAACACACGAACAGAAAACCAAATACAGCATGTTCTCAATTATAAGTGGGGGATAAACACTGAGTATATTTGGACACAAAGAAGTGAACAACAGACACAGGGGCTTACTTGAGGGCAGAGGGAGAGCAGAGAATGAGAACTGAAAAACCTACCTACCAGTTACTATGCTTACTACCTGGGTGATGAAATAATCTGCATGTCAGTTCACCTGTATAACAAACCTGCACATGTATCCCTGAACCTAAAATAAAAGTTTAACAATTTCTGTTTAATTTCTGATATACTAAATCATAGAGATTGGTAAACTGGCTTTAAAAATAAATAAATAAATAAAGCCCTGATTTTTACATTTGCAACTCAATTTCCACTGTGTGAATATTCCTACCAGGATTGATTTCAAGCTACCAAGTAACATAACTGAATGTAATTTTGAGAAGAGAGGCATAGCATGATTAGGTTTTATTGGTCACTAAGTGCTGGCCCCAGAATATCACTGACTATGAATGTCATGAACTGAGAGTATCTTCACAGTACTTAATACTTTTTAAGAGTATAAAGGAATCTTAAGACCAAAAGTTTGAGAACTGCAATAGTTGTCTTATCACAGTCATCCTACCAGACTCTATCATCCCTAACACTCTCAGAGGATCCCCTACTTCTGCAACCTTCTCCACAGACTTCCAAATATACTTATATCTGTTCCCATCCCACATTTGGTTTGAAGTATTTCACTAAGTACCCATAATGAATATCCATTAATAGGAAATGTCACAGTAGGGTGATATGGTTTAGCTGTGTCTCCACCCAAATCTCATCTTGAATTCCCATGTGTTGTGGGAGGGACCTGGTAGGAGGTAATCATGAGGACACTTGAAATCATGGGGACAAGTGTTTACTGTGCTGTGTCATGATAGTGAATAAGTCTCAGCAGATCTAATTTTTTTTAAAAAGTTCCCCTGCACAAGTTCTCTCTCTTTGCCTGCCACCATCCACATAAGATGAGATTTGCTTCTCCTTGTCTTCCACCATAATTGTGAGGCCTCCCTAGCCATGTGGGACTGTAATTCATTAAATCTCTTTCTTTTGTAAATTGCCCAGTCTTGAGTATGTCTTTATCGGAAGTGTGAAAATGAACTAATACAGTAAATTTGTACCAGGAGTGGGTGCTGCTGAAAAGATACCCAAAAATGTGGAAAAGACTTTGGAACTGGGAAACAGGCAGAGGTTGGAATAATTTGGAGGGCTCAGAAGAAGACAGGAAAATGTGGGAAAGTTTGGAACTTCTTAGAGACTTGTTAAATGGCTTTGACAAAAATGCTGATAGTGATATGAACAATAAGGTCCAGACTGAGGTGGTCTCAGATGATGAGGAACTTTTTGGGAACTGGAGCAAAGATGACTCTAGTTATGTTTTTTAGCAAAGAGACTGGTGGCATTTGGCCCCTGCCCTAGAGATTGGTAGAACTTTGACCTTGAGATAGATGATTTAGGGTATCTGGCAGAAGAAATGTCTAAGCAGCAAAATATTCAAAAGGTGACTTGGGTGCTGTTAAAGGCATTCAGTTTCTTAAGAGAAGCAGAGTATAAAAGTTTGGAAAATTTGCAGCCTGACAATGAGATAGAAAAGAAAATCCCATTATCTGAGGAGAAATTCAAGCCAGAAACATAAATTTGCATAAGTAAAAAGGAGCTGCATATTAATCCCCAAGACAATGGGGAAAATTTCTCCAGGGCATGTCAGAGGTCTTCATGGCAGCCTCTCCCATCACAGGCCCAGAGGTCTAGGAGGACAAAATGGTTTAATGGGCCAGGCCCAGGGTCTTCATGCTGTGTAGTCTATGGACTTGGTGCCCTGCATCACATCCACTTCAGGCATGAGTAAAAGGAGCCAAGGTACAGCTCAGGCTGTGAATTCAGAGGGTGTAACCCCAAGCCTTGGTAGCTTCCAGGTGGTGTTGAGCCTGTGAGTGCATAGAAGTCAAGAATTGGGGTTTGGGAGTCTCCACCTAGGTTTTGGAAAATGTATGGAAGTGCCTGGATATCCAGGCAGAAGTTTGCTATAGGGGCAGGACTCTCATGGAGAACCTCTGCTAAGGCAGTGTGGAAGGGAAATGTGGAGTCAGAGCCCACACACAGAGTCCCTACTGGAGCACCAGCTAGTGGAGCTGTGAAAAGAGTGCCACCATCCTCCAGACCCCAGAGTGGTAGATCCACTGACAGCTTTCACTGTGTGCTTAGAAAACCCACAGACACTCAATGAGAGTTTGTGAATGCAGCTGGGAGGGAGGCTTTACCCTGAAAAATCATAGTCCTGGAGCTGTCCAAGACCACGGAAACCAACCTCTTACATCAGTGTAATCTGGATGTGAGACATGAAGTCAAAGAACATCATTTTGGAGCTTTAAGTTTTGACTTGAATTTTGGATTCGCCTAGGGCTGTATCTCCTTTGTTTTTGCCAATTTCTCACATTTGGAACACCTGTATTTACCCAATGCCTGTGTCCCCATTGTATCTAGTAAGTAACTAACTTGCTTGTGATTTTACAGGCTCATAGGTGGAAGGGACTTGTCTTGTCTCAGATGAGATTTTGAGCTGTGGACTTTTGAGTTAATGTTGGAATGAGTTAAGACTTTGGGGGACTGTTGGGAAAGAATGATTGGTTTTGAAATGTGAGTACATGACATTTGGGAGGGACCAAGGGCAGAATGATATGGTTTGTCTGTGTTCCCACCCAAATCTCATCTTGAATTCCCACATGTTGTGGGAGGGGCCCAGTTGGAGGTAATTGAATCCTGGAGGCAAGTCTTTCCCATGCTGTTCTCATGATAGTGAATAAGTCTCATGAGATGTGATGGTTTTAAAAAGAGGAGATCCCTTGCACAAGTTGCCTCTCTTGCCTGTTGCCATCCAAGTGAGACGTGACTTGCTCCTCCGTGCCTTCCACCATGATTGTGAGACCTCCCCTGCCATGTGGAACTGTAAGTCTGGGCATCAAGGCATCATTGGTTCAAAGGCAGCACCCTGATAATTGAAATTTGGACAGACTGAGCCCTTATTTCCTAACTAATGTCTCCAGAGCCAGTCTCTCTGCTTTGACAAAGATCTTACTGGCTGAGAGAGTAGCCATCAGCCTACCTGGGGCTATATCTTTCTTGCACCTCAGGTGCACCTATAGCTATGAGCCCTATATTTTTATTGTTTAGAGAATAAGATTTCTAAACAATGCATGGCATAAAGGCTTTTATACTTACCTTCTGTTGAGCTTCAGAAAATTAACCTATGCTCACCTTTAATCATGCTTATTTAAGTATCTGTAGACTTCTGTTTGCTGCTAAAAAATGATTTACTGCCAGGTCACATAAAGGAATCAGTGGTACATGAATATTTCACAATTGCCTTCTGAGTTTTTATGACAACTGCTACTCTTTTTCTGTCTCATTAACACATTCCAGCCAGTACCTAAAAATTTATTCCCAATGAATTGGCAAAGCACTTCCCCCAAAGTACAGCCAATTGTAGTACCCATGATTCCTACAGAGCCTCAACAACCATTCATATGAATTGCTTCAACATTTAGAGCCATGTATTTCTTGACATAAATGGTCTTAGACTAAGGGTGATTCTTCATACTCAAGGAACCTGGCTTCTTTAGCTAAGAACTCATTTAAGAATTTTAGAAATGTAGTGTATAAGGAATGCAGATTAAAAAAAAATCTTTCCTAGGTTTGACTTTTTACTACCTTCCCCATAAATATTAGAATGACTAACATTCTTAGTAACTATGAAGTAAGGCTTCATTCACTTTATATTTCCACTCTCTTTACTGCAAAGTATTGTTTGGTGTCTTTCATGAACTCATAAATGGGTCTGTGTTCTTTTAGTTAACTCCTACTGCCATTCCACCTTCACTACTGTTGTTCTCAGTCCTGATCTATGTCATTATGTCACTGTCCTGATGGGCCAATACATCTTCTTCACAGATGATTTCTCTTCTATATTACTCTCATGTAGCAAAATCCATGTTAGAGATACTTGAGCAAAAAAGTGTAACACCTTTTAGTGAGATGTCATTTTAATTTGTTGTAAGACATTTATTGCTCTCAAGATGAGTGGGTCATGATTGGTTCCAGCATCAGCTTCCACCCAATTTCCAGAACCACTGCTGACCTGCAATCCTAAGTTCCCATTGCCAATAGTAGGTAATGTTCAATTTCTTCCCTTATGCTAGATGATTTCTTCGAAGCCTCAATATTGTGCCATGATATTGTCATTCTTGTATGCCAAGTCAGTAGCTTTAGTGGACTAGATATAGAAACTTCAATGCCAGAATATAGGTAAATAATTTTCTTGTGATTCCAACATGCCAAACAGATAAACATATATGTTTTGGCTCAGCTAGTATCTATGTCACCAATCACAAAATTTTAAAGTTAGCCCCATCATTTAATTTCATAGTTAAGTGTTCTTATTTTAGATCTTTGCTTTTATTTATTTTTTCTCTGAAGCCTGGTTTTAGAAATGAAGGAATTTGCTGACATTTTATGATCAGTGCAAATCTTTCCCTTGGGTTTTATTTTCCTATTTGTACCACTGTCCAATATCTTATTAATCTGTAGAATTTTCTTGCACTTTGTCCTCCGAATTTCCTCTATCCAAATATTGTCTTAGGTTAGCATATAACCTAACCCTATTTTTGTTCATAATTATGTGAAATTGATGGGTATATCAATTTCATAGAAGATTTGAATCATAAATTTATTTCTTTACCAGGTCTTCCCTTAATTTTCCAGAAGGTAGCAGAATAGGTGACTTGGAAATAGCAGTTCTAGAAGACCACCCCATTGAACTGATCCCAAGTCTTTATTTAACTTTAACTCTGCAGCATTTCACAATGCTGACTACTTCCACTATTCCTTTGACTTCTATTACATGATAGATCTATTTCCAGCTTTCTGTAGTTAGTTTCATTTGTAGACATTTTCCCCTCTATCTTTTCATTTTTGTTGCCCAAGATTCTATGATTAACTCCTTCTCTTCTTATTTTTTTTCACATTCTTTAGTGTTAACTGCACACATTATATTGCTAAGAAATCTTTATACCTAACTCATATCTATTCCGGAAACTCCATGCCTTATGAGCTCACAGCTATTGCTCATTTGTGACCATTTACATTTTATAATAATAGCACAAACTAAACATGTCCAAAGTTGTATCCAAGTCAGTTATTCCAATTCTGCATATGAATTTCATGTGTATGTCTCCATATCTGGCCTTTGCCAGTGCTATTCCCTGGACTGAGGAATTTTTAAAATGATACTTGAAGTAGGCGCATGAAAAGCACTTTTAAATATGTACTTAAGGAGCGAGTGTTTCTATATTCTATATTTAATCATTAAGTGTAATGATTTATGATTTTAGAGATATAAATCAACATATTTTGTCCATTCCATTATATCTCTTTGGAAATTGAGTTTTGTGAGAAAAAGTTATTTTGTTCTAGATCACTACTTGAGTTTGTAGAAAAATTAGAAAGTGACCAAAGCCTTGGATTCAGTATTTTTCCACAATACCAGGTTTTCTCTATTTATATACAAACATCAGCCAAACATACTTTAATCATTTTGTATTCCCCATATTTTTTCAAGGATGCAAATTAAGCTACTTGAGAATAAAATATCATGAGTGTCTATTGTTATCATTATGCTTCTAACAGAAGAAAGTGCAATATACTTCTATTAAATGATTTGAGAGTCTTCATAAAAAGATGCTATTGACACATCTATTTTAATTTCTGTATTTCTATTTATAAAGCAGAATAATGGAAACTACTCAGAATATTTGTCTGTACTAATTCTTCTAGCTCAAGAATTTTTATTTTTAAGATACTGCTTTATTTAACAACATTACTTTTCTTCAATTAGCTATCATTTCACCTTCTCAAAGTAACCCCTTATATCAGTCTGTTTTCACACAGCTATAAAGATACTATCTGCGACTGGGTAATTTATAAACAAGAGAGGTTTTATTGACCCACAGTTCCACATGGGTGGAGAGGCCTAAGGAACCATAATCATGGTGGAAGGCAAAGGGAAAGCAAGGCATGCCTTATGTGGCAGCAGGAGAGAGAGAGAGCATAGAGGGAATGCCAGATGCTTATCAAACAACCAGATCTCCTGTGAACTCACTCACTATCATGAGAACAGCATGGGGGAGACCACCTCCATGATCTAGTCTCCTCCCACCAGGTCCCTCCCTTGGCATGTGGGGATTACAATTAGAGATGAGATTTGGGTGGTGACGCAGAACAAAACCATATCACCTCTCTTTACTGTACAATATTAGGGTCAAATCTATTTCATATCAGAACAAGAGAACCCTTCTTTATACTCATAACTATGCAAAGTTGACTTCTCTCAAATGGATAGATTCAAACAAATACAAAAAGCTTTTTTTTCCATTTAGGCTGTTCCTTTAGCAGATATTTGCCAAAGATATTAAAATATATATTTCTGCAAGAAGATGTGAGAAGTGTTAATTAAAACAATTTTGTTCTTTTTCAGGCCAGCTTTTAGTTGTATATTATTTTGACCCAGAGGGATATAATCCTTTACACCAATACGTAAAATAATTAATTCCATGTTGCCATTATATTATAATAAATATTTAATACAGTCCCCATGGAATCATTGCCAGCTAATATTGTGACAGAATTAGGCTCAAAATTTCTTATCAGCTTGTTTAGTGAAGGTCTTTCTGTGCTAGTAAAGAAATTAATTCAATGTTTCTGATAAGTGCAGAGTTGATAACCTTGGTTATTGAGATGGATTTACCCAATAACTGAACCATTGAGTTTATATGTAAAATTGATGGGGTAAGTCATTTTTCTCTCTCCAGTTCTCAAACTACTCACAACTTTTTATCTCATTACCATATAAAATAATGTCTTCAAGGAATTTAATGTCTTAATAAAAAGTAGAGAAGTAGGAAAATAATCTGTAATAACTACCTTATAAATATTATGTATCTAATAATTAAAAATTAAAACAATTTTAATACATATATGAGAGTGAGTTGATTCAATTATAAATACATAACTTCTTTCACTTTAATCTCGAGAGAATTTTTTTCTTCTCAATCATTTTTTAAATTATATTTTCTAAAAATGTTTCTTTTTCTTCCTATAACACATGATTTAGAAACTTGCATTCAAGGATTCATTCATAGCTGTATTTAATAGATAATATGTATGGGCGCTCTAGGAAACATGATAGGTACAGGCTAGGTTAGTGATAGCCGAGTTATTGTTTACCAATATGCTTCTAATCTAATAAGAGAGATAAAACATGCCCATTTAAAATCATCAGTGACTAGATGCTATTTGAAGGCAGAAGTTGGAGTGAACCAAGGAAAATGATATTGAAAAAGGGAGAAGAGCTTTCATTCTGTTGAGTAGTTAAGTTCCATGGAGAGGAACTGCCATAGCAGGTGGACTGGAAATGTTGCAAGAAAAGATATACAAGCAGTAAAGACTTCAGAGTAGATAACATAAATGATGGATCTCAGTAAAATATTGTATACAAGTTCAAATAATTTTTAATTACTAAAGTATAATGAAACCATAACTGTTAAAAACAGGAAAGGAGGGTGGATAAAATTTAATACCTACAATATGCCACAAAATAATTATAATCCTAATTGGTAAGCAAATGTCAGTTTTAAAGGTTTTTTTTGGGGGGGAAATAGACACAATCAAGATGTGTTTTATGTAGTGGATTGTGCTACAATGAACATAAGACTGGCAACTTAGGAAACCTAGCTTGTAGAATACATCTAATTCTAATAAGAAATTAGGTAAGTCACAGTGCATTTGATGTACAGGAATGCGATATGCTTAAGAGATGAGTTTTGTAAAATAAGGCAAGGAGATATTATTCTTCAACTAGAGATATCTGTATACGTCAGAGGGCAGGTTGAATTGCTATTTTAATGGAAATAGCTCAAGGACATCTTAGTGGATCCATTACCCTCAATTTAGCTGTGAAAGACAGAATCTTGGGAATAACACCTCTCTATCCAAAAATCACACAATTTGTTCTCCTCTCCCCATATAACTAGTCTTTAATTTTTATTCCCTGAACAAGCATGATTGAACCTCCAAACTGTTCTCCTAGCATTCACTCTCTTTCGTCAAGTAATTTATTCGCATTTCAAATATGAATTAAAGTATGCCATTCCTTTGTCTAGATACTGTAGTGATTTATTTTTCTTGTAATATTCATCATAAGGTCACAAAAGCCCTTCATAATGCATCCCCTGCCTACCTCACTACACTCATCTTGAACCACTTAATTCCTTTTCAGCCACAGTGGCCTTCTTTCAGCAGTTTAAATTCAATGTGTTTCTTTTCAACTCATGGTCTTTATACATACAAGTTCTTTTTATTTTACCCCTATATTTCTCTATTCAATCTCAGCTGCCACAATCAGACAGACAGTGTGAGGACATTTTTTTTCCTGCATCTATAGTGTAAACCTTAGCAGAAGATAGTAATTTAAGTATTTATTGATTTTGAGACAGGGTCTCACTTTGTCTTCCAGGCTGCAGTGCAGTGGTGTGATCAGGGCTCACCTCCCTAGCTCAACCTCCCTGGCTCAAGGGATCCTCCTTTCTCAGCCACTTGAGTTAGCTGGGACTACAGAGGAGTTTGGCTGATGGCGTTTGGGGAGGAGTTCAGCTGCTGGACAGTCCAACTCAAGGGGAAGATCATCTTCCCACTCCATCCCCACATTCTGGCTCCCCATCTACCCTGCTGAGAGCCACCTCCACCACTGAGTAAACCTCACATTCATTCGTCGAGCCCGTGTGAGCCAAATTTTTCTGGGATGATGGTCAAGAGATATCAGAAAGCTGTCAAGGATACAGAAAGCTGTCACACTGGCCCTCTGCCTTTGTGACAGGGCTTTAACCCTTAAAGCCATCTGTGGATGGCAAGGCTAAGAAAGCATTGTAACATGGGTTGCAGGCATCCACCCTACCACAGGGCTGTAGCCCAAAGCCCTTGCCCCCAGCTTCTTCACCTGCCCATCTGCATGCTCCTGCAGCAGGCAACCAAACAGGCGAGCCACATCCCTGTCACACATCCTGCAAGGAGGGCCTGGGAACTCTCCCATTTAATTAGTCTGGAAAGGCCGTATTAGGCCTACAGTAAAAATAAGCTCTATTAGGCCATTTTTGCACTAGTATGAATAAATACTGGAGACTGGGCAATTTACAAAAAAAAAAAAGAGGATTAACTGGCTCATGGTTCTGCAGGCTGTACAGAAAGCGTGGGCAGTGGACATCTGCTTAGCTTCTGGTGAGGCCTCAGAAAGTTGACAGTCATGTCTGAAGACAAAGGGGGAGCCATCCAGAATGGGAGCAGGAGAGTGAGGGCAGAGGTGCTACAAACTTTTAAACAGCCAGATCTTGTTAGAACTCATTATTGTGAGGACAGCACCCCAAGTCATTCCAAGGACAGTGCCAAGAGGAATGGCACTAAACTATTTGTGAGAAATTGGCCTTCGTGATCCAATCAGCTCCTACCAGGCCCCACCTCCAACACTGGGGATTAAAATTCAACATGAGATTTAAAGGGGACAACATCCAGACTATATCATAAGCCCTAGAGTAAAAATGGAACAAAATATATCTGTGTTTTAATCACACAACATCTCATGAGGGTCAGACCAGTCTTCCAGGGTACTTTTCTGCCCTGCTGTGGCTCAAAAACTCAGCTTTTCCGTATCAACATGGAGATTTTCCCTAATGACTGTGAAAGTGAAAGAAAGAAGAGAGGTAAGACAGCAAGGATTAAATGCTTAGAAGTGACACATGTTTCTTCTACTCACACACCATTTGGCAGATCAATCATTTGATCTTTCCTACCCTCAAAGGATGCAGGGAGTGTCTTCTTTTATGTACCCAAGAAGTAGAGGGAATGAAAGTGGTGATACTATATGTGGTATTTTAATTATCAACTGTTATTTCACGATTTCTTTAAAGTATCACATTTAGAGGACAAAAACAGATCCAAATTTGATCCTGTGCCATTCTTGATGCTTTCCAGTTGAAAATGTGTGTTTTAGTAAATATGTTCCAGCATTTTTTTTTTTTTGAGATGGAGTCTTGCTAAGTCGCCCAGATTGGAATGGAGTGGCACAATCTTGGCTCACTGCAACCTCCGCCTCCCGGGTTCAAGCAGTTCTCCTGTCTCAGCCTCCCGAGTAGCTGGGATTACAGGCACGTGCCACCACGTCCAGCTAATTTTGTGTATTTTTAGTAGAGATGGGGTTTCACCGTGTTAGCCAGGATGGTCTCTATCTCCTGACCTTGTGATCCGGCCACCTCGGACTCCCAAAGTGCTGGGATTACAGGCATGAGCCAGCACGCCTGACCTCATCGTTTTTTTGTTGTTGTTGTTTGTTTATTGTTTTTTGTTTTTTTCATTCACATCTTAGGACAACATTACAGATAGTTTGAAACAGCTGTTGATCTGTATTTTTCTTCCAGCTCTGTTTACCAAGCTTACCAGCATCAGAATTCTTATCCTTTACTAGAACATAGATGTTTGAATATGAGAATAGTTCCCCGTCTGCCAGACAACTACAACATAGATGATTTTTGATGGACCAGTAGTGTGTGGAAGTCACCAATTAAAAATTTAATGCAAAAAGATTCTGCACATTCTCAGGCATGGAAACAAAAAGCAAACACAAGATAGAGGAACGGGAAGATGAGAAACCCTGTCTTACATAATTTTGTATGATATTTATATTGCAGTATACCATACTTTTATGCTAAAATATATACAATTATGATATAATTAGACTACTACTGTGGAGTCTGCAATAGATTCTAAGCCCAATGTTTTCCTAACGCTAAGATGCCACTGTTATATAATTTATCAGATATTTGACAACAGCTTACTAAAAGAAACGATTCTCATTGTGTTCATTATAAGCATAGTGTTTATATAAAACTCCAAAGGCAGAAATAACCTAAGTCTTAGACTATAGAAGGTAGAGTCATCTGAATATTAGTTTTTTATGCAAAATATTTTCCTAGTTGGATTTCTGTTTTTAATGCATTTTTGGACCAGTGTTAATTCATATGACTATTGAAGCAAATTAGATGGTAGAAAGTAAATCAGCATATATTGCTTTTATAGATCAGGGTGTTTTCAGTAATTTGATTCTTGCAACTATACTAAGAGGAAAGTATTTATAATCTCATTTAACAGATGAAGAAATAAGTTTTGAGAAAATGAGTTGTTTCGCAATTTCACATAACTTGTAAGTGGAAGAATCAGAGTTTTAACCTCCTTCAGCCTGACCTGTAAATTGCTCTATGCTCTTTCTATTAACCAGGTGAAATAAGAGTAATTTGCAAGAAATACCCTGAATGTAGTTTCCTGAATAGTATATAGTGTCCCACAGGACACTTCCCTATCTCTTGGGAACTACGTGTGTGTGTGTGTGTGTGTGTGTGTGTGTGTGTGCATGTTCACATATTCAGTCAGACTAGTGAGACAATATTTAGTTCTTAAACTAATCTGTTTGACAAAAGTTCTAGGGTGCAAATGTTAAAAGTTGACTATATCTTTAGGTCAAAGGATAATTATAGTGAGAGATTAGTCACATCAGAGGAAATTCACTTCAGACATTTTTTTAATGTCAGCTGCAATATTTTGACTTAGGAAATCTAGGCTTTTCTAAAAAAGAAAGAAAGAAATGTCAAATAGCACTACATCAGAGGAAAGAATGCTGTTCATTTTGGCTGGAATAGATTTATAATTTACTATTTTCTATTGCAGAACTAAAATCTATTTTTTTTCTTTTCAGTTCTTTTTTTAAAAAAAACCAACAGAATTTTTTTTTTTTTTTTTTTTTTTTTTTTTTTTGCCTAATTGTAGCTATTCTTTCATTACCATCTAATTCAGACATAGTCTGCAAAAATATTCCACTGGGCAGAGATGCTAGCTAGGCTGAGAATATAGCCAGAGGTTTTTCTGTCTCTCATTAGGATAACAGTGCAGGAATATTGCCACTGTCACAATCATGATATATAATTATTATCCATAAATTTCTCTGCATTCTCTAAATTTCACCTCATATCAAGTTAAAATTCTAAAAATTGTTTATTGGAACTGCATTGTTTTGGCACTAGTACATATTAACAGTGATGTTTCACCATCATTTTCCAATGAGGTATGTCTCAAGAAATATTTGTAAGAAAATAATCCTATGGGAAGACATTTTCTGCAACATCATGTAGCCTTCTCTTCACAAGGATCCATTGGAGATATTTTCCCATCACTGTATAAAAGTACAAACTTTTGCTTACAAAGCAGGTTTTTACATTTTTTGGATTCTGTCTATAACATAAGTTTTTAGTCTTGTTTATTCTATGGATTCATGTAACCTACAATGTCTCCTACTTCTATAGGTCCCAATCAAGTGTTACCTTGTCACTATGCTAAAGTATCACTTGATTACTCATAGAAAGTAACACCTCTGTGTGACTCCAGAAACTTATTTCTCTTATCCTGTTTTTCTCTTTATCATTCATTTTCAATTAATTGTCACAGATGCATTTTACTATCTCTCTTTCTCCACTAAATGTAAGACTCATGGAGCCAAGGACTTTGTCAAAGTGCTCACTCCTTTATACCTACTGAGAAGCGTAGTTCGTGGGGTGCAGTGCCAGCTTACTGAGTGAATGAATGCAGAACAGCCAGTATGATTTTTTTTTCTGCCTGATTGTAATATCCAACATAGCTCAGACCACATTTTCTAAGCTATCAGTGTCTTTTTTTTTCCTCAGCAGTTTTCATCTCACTGTGCTTTTGCTTAATAAACAGAATATATATTCTTGTACCATAATTGAATCAATTTGAAACTCTTTGACTCTTTGTTAGTCCTTTGTGTGGTATATTATTAGACATCTTTCCAAACCCACTTATCAGGCAACTTCCATTAAAGAGAGAAGCAGCTGCTCCAAAGAACATTTTCAGGTCATCTTCATATCATTCAGATTTCACTTTTAGTTGGTTTTACTACCTGAATACCAACTCTTCTTGCCTTTATCCTGTGTGGGTTTTTTTTTTTTTTTTTTTTTTGGCACTGACACTGCTTTTTAGTACATTACATCTGACTCTTTCTCGTGGGCTTCTTCTTGAATTTGCCTCACCGACAAGACTCTCTTTTAACTAGTGACCTGGGACCCAATCAGGAGTTTATCTGTCTCACAAGATTAGCTAGATGGAATGGGAGTACTCACACACCAACTAAACTTTTCTCCATTATGTTCACATGTATTCTTTGTGCTTTATGTAAGACAATGTCTGCACAAAGTTTTATACCTTCATGGCATTGCTCCATGATCACCCTTTCAGTTGTCATCATTTCCCTCACCTTATCAGGCAATGCAGTATTTTATTTTATTTGCTTCTATTCGCTTACAAAATACTGCCTCAGGAGTCAGAAAGGCAAATTGTAAATCTTGACCCTATTGCTACCAAATAGAGTGACAATGGCTACAAAGAATATGTATTAAAAAGCACTGCCCTACATGATCACAGAAGAAAAGCCACAAAGTCATTTATCTGCAATTAGTCATAATTGCAAAGGGACTAATATATTTTAAAAAGTCTTCCTTGGAAGAGTTGATTAACCTCTTACCTTACTAAAGCTTCATCTCACCTTGGTCCTCTAGCTCAATGTTGCAATTTTATTGACTGAACTAGATGCATCCTTGCTCAATCGATGAGAAACTTGGGCTTTCTATTTCTACTCAGTTGTGCCTATTTGTTCAACAGAGTTTCTTGAGTGAGTGAATAAACTTAGGGGATAGAAGATTTCCTTAAGTTTAGGAACTATACACTTAGAACAATAGCTTGGGAACACTCTTTAGTGGTGATTACATTTATAATCATAACTACCACTTTCATGGTCTAAGGGACAGAACTAACGGGCTACTTAGCAGGTCAACTATGTATGCATGGCATGGGGTGCAGGGGTAGCATGCAGCAGAATGATAATACATAACGCAATGAAGCTCTGGGGGGTGGGGGCTAAAGAACATATAGAATTTCTAGAAAATTTCTTATGTATTCCTCATCTTGTGTCTGTAGTTACAGTATTTGTAATAATAAATTTTATTTGAGGAATTATAATTTTAACACGTTTGGTAAAAATTGTGTTTTATAAATATTTTTGGGTGAGTACTACTAAAATTATTACAGTGGACCAGAGATATAAATAAAAGATAACACTCAAGATGTTTTCAGAAGACAAGCTGTTAATGAGTGTCAATGTAATGATAAGAAAAATATGAGTTAAATGAAAAAGGAAACTTAATGGCAAGAAAGGAGCTATGAGGAATAAAAATAACCAGGAGCATTAAATTTTGTACATTATGAATTCAAGACTTCAAAAACAAATTTGTCACAATTGACTTGTAGTCACTTGTGATAGTACTTGAAATTTTTAAAATGAGAAAAAGAGGTAAGGAAAGCAAGTAAAAAGGAAAGAGGAATCTTAAATCTAGCCAGAGAAAACACCAGCCAGCAATAAAAGTTACATTATAAGTATCTCATTCAATTCTTCCAACAATCATGTTTTGTAACAATTTATTTTATAGGTGTAGACTGAGTATTACTGTAGTATCCACTTCTGAGATCTGAGACCTTGATGAAATTTTTAATGATATGTAACAACAAAGAGATTTTAAATGTCTTTTAGGAAAAGTTCATTTCTTACTTAGCCCAAATAAGGAAAACACAATTCAGCATTCTATTCTAGATTATCTTCTTTTCTTATTCCACATGCACCTATTTGGTGAGATCATCAATTCTCAAAGTTCTGAGCAATCAATCAATCAGACATCAATAAAACTTAGATCTTCCTTCTGAAATCCAGAAGTATATGCTTAGCTGCCTACTGAATATCTTTTTTGTGTGTGTTCTAAATATGTAACCCAATGCTTTCTAATCCAGAATTCTTTGCCTTCCCCTCACTGTTTGCTTGCCATTCACTGTTGCTTAAGTAAATGGTGCTGCCATCGTCTAATTGTTCAAGTTAGAAATGGGACATCTTTCTTGACTACTCAGTCCTCTGCCTTATGATCAAATCTAATTCTATAAATTCTTATCCATTTGTCACACTACATGTTTCTCAAACAAAAATTTTTTTCTCTTTCCTTACTATGAAGGCCTTCATGATGTGGTGGCTGCTTAACACCTCCAGCATTATATTTTGCCGAGCCTCAAACATCTATTTAATTATGACAAATAATAATTATACTCTACATTTATAGAACATTTAAAAAAATATATGAGGCTTTCACATCTGTGATCTTGTTAGATTCTTAAAGAAACTTCATTAAAAAGGGAAGATACACACTTACACACACACATACATATGTATAATAAAAGCTATCATTTTAGAGCAGAGCAAAGTATGCCAAATTTATTGTTTAATTTGGAATTACAGAGTAAAGTAGCCAAATACAGAGAACTGAACGTCCATTATGTACCTAAAATTTTGCTTGCATTATATATCATTAACGCACAAAACCACCCAATGAAGGAACCACCCTACAATACTAATTATATCTTTCTTTTTTTTTTTGAGATGGAGTCTTGCTCTCTCACCCAGGCTGGAGTGCAATGGCACAATCTCGGCTCACTGCAACCTCCGTCTCCTGGATTCAAGCGATTCTCTTGCCTCAGCCTCCCAGGTAGCTGGGATTACAGGTGTGCACCACCATCATGGCTAATTTTGTTTTTTTATTAGAGAAGGGGTTTCACCATGTGGGCCAGGCTGGTCTTGAACTCTTGACCTCAGATGATCCACCCGCCTCGGCTTCCCATTGTGCTGGGATTACAGGCATGAGCCACCGCACCCAACCCTACTTACATCATCGAATCTGCAAAATCACCCATTTCACAGATGATGTAGATGAGTCTCAATGATATTATGTAATTTACATAAAATCACATTACTGTTTTCTTGAAGAGACCACCTTTGTCATTATATGTGTTTCAAACTTCTTGAAAGCCTTGCCCATGTCTTACTCACCTGTGGAAGATCAGAATTATTCCTCCCAAAGTTTCTATAAGAAGTTAATTCTTGTTACAAAAATACTCTATTTTGAACATCTAAAAAAGTTATTACGAACCTGAAATTTGGAGAAGTTTGCTGTTTTATGAGTTTTCTTGATGTTTTCCTCCAGTCACACACATGGTTCTTGAGAGTAAATATAATTGCTTAGACCACTTTAATTTTATGGCCCTGATTTCACTCACATGAAGAGATGATGATCCTGAAATTCTCATTTGCTTAGTAAGAAATCATTTTAATGAAGCAAGAATACACAAAAGCACCAACTAAAAAGGAATGTCAAGATGTAAGCTGTGGATTCTTTCCTTCTAACTGCAATTTTACTTCCACAAGTTCCTACTCTGGAGTTGTAAAACTGCTTACTTATGTTGGAAACTATTCCCTTTTGTGTAGGAGGCAGATGGCATTTTCTTGGCACAGCACAGAGTGGATTTGCAGAACTAGCAAAAAGGGGGAGGTAACAGAGAGGGAGACAGAAAGTGTTTTTTCACGATGCTTTCCTCAGCAACAGCTGCCATGGACTGCAGTTGACTTGGCATAGAAGATCCATTCCCAGTTGAAAATAGTGGAAGTCTCTAGAGACTCCATTAAATGTTGCAAAAGAGGACACTCATCCCAAACCCCAACTGAAAACTGTATGGCATTTAGAGAAACCTGAATGTCATACAGGTTAAGGTTTGTTCTGCCTACTCTCCTGTGCTGAAGTGAGAATTAAATAAAACAACCTATGTGAGTAATAATACTAATCTCTTTTATTCTATAACCATATTTTCATTGTTTTAAATAAACTTGACATATAGTAGTCATGTATCAGAAACCCTAAGATTACATCTGGGTTCCGGATGTATTTTGATTCTTCCAGATAGAATTTTTAAAAATAATGAATGAGTTGTCAATACTTAATGAGGCTTCATAGAACTATCTTGTGAACAATTGCAAAGCTCACTCTCCCATTCCTGACAAGTACCAACACACTGGACCTGAGGACAGAGCACTCTCTCTCTCAAGAGTCTCAATTACTTATTCCCCTCATTTGAACTAAATCACTTGACTTAAAATGGATTTGTATAGAGTGATTGGGTTTCTGTCCTCTGACCAGGAATCAGTAATATTTTCCTTTCTTTTGGAATAACTTTTCTTAGGCTATACCAAATAACCAGACTTCAGAAGCTTGGGTTGGTGATGATAGAATGCTTCTCATTAGGCAGCAGGAAGGCTTTACTCTATTTTCTGAGTGTTTTACCTAAGAGTATCCTCAAAGAGTATACTCAAGAGTAGCAACACTTGGGGAAAGATCTGAGAACTGTATGTTGAGGAAAGCCCACCCTACCCCTGCACACACATACCCAGAGCACACACACGAACATGAACATCTCTGTAGAACGTTCTCTTCCCTCTGTTCCTTTCATGAAGACTACTAAAGATTTTCCCACCAGTTCTCTATAACAATACTTTTTAAAGCATTTTTTTTTCACATTAAAATGTAGTTGCCCCAACCATTTTTTCCAAGATGTTTGCTAGGGAGGAAATGTGGCAGAAAGAACCAGTCTGCTTGGACTCAAACTGACTAGAATTTTCAGGTTAATCTACTAGCAGTGCAAACTTAAACGTGTTATTTAATGGCAGTAAGCCTTAGTTTCCTCATTCTTAATATGGAAGTAACAATATCTACTTTGTATATAAATAATTAGAATTGAAGCAGATAACTTTGAAAGCATCTCTAACATACTGTCTGGCAAAGAATTAGAGGTTAACAAATATTGCACTTTCTCCCCAAGCGGTTAGTTAATCAATCTGAAATATCCTTCCCAAATGACATTTAAATTTTAGTAGTGACTTTTATTGCCTTAATTGATGGGAATGAGTGTATGAGAATTTTAGTCAATGCCAAATAATTAGAAAGGGGAAATATTTTGGAAGTAAAAAAAAAAAAAATCTTCTTTGCTTTGAAGCTGTAACTAAGCAGTGCCTTAACTTCAGCTACTTAGCAATATTGAAAAATAGTACCTATCCCCCCAAAATAATTGTCAGATTATTTGGTATCTGTTATTGGATTTTGCATGTGTAATTGTCTATAATTGTACATAAGATTTAGTTAAAGCATTTCCACGTATTTTGTTGAGCTCTTTCCTTTCCCTCAAATATAGTTACTTTTAAGGAGCAGGCAGAGCCACCTAGGTAGCTTAGAGAAGCTATTGACATTTAGAAAAGGGTGCTTTTTTTATCTTAAGATAAATTCAGTCTAACTCTAAGAAGATGCTTAAAACTCTGGTGACTTGCTCTGTCCCTCTCCTGTGGGGTTGTTCCAGAAGAGTCCTACTATCCAAGCTGCTAAAAAGACGTGTCTTGGGGAGTAAATGTGAACTAAATAAAAACACAGCAACGGGAACCAGGCTTCATTTGTGCTCCTTTGAAAGATAAAAATAACACCCAGTGTAGTAGAGAATCCCTGAATGCTGATCACAATGCATAAGAAAAAAAGCACAGTACAAATAAAAAGCATCTCATTCCCAGGGACATACTTCTCATACACAGCTTTGCAATCTGAGCAGTTACTAAATGCAGGGCCTCCTCCTTTCGTTTTTCTCTCTGTCCTCTAGGGGTGACGGAGTGCTCCAAATACAACCTTAATTGGTCTGCTCTGTCTTAACAGACCCATCTGCCATGGCTTCTAAGTGCATCTCTTGGGTCTTTGTTGTGTTCCCTGTGCATGGCGGGGATCCTTCACTCTGTCTTGCAGTAGCTGCATGCTAAATTTTCATATATATTCAATTCATTTTCTAAGACTTTTTTTTTTTCCTGAGAAAGGTTTTTAAGTCACTCAGGTCTTTGTGAAGCATTTATGCTTAACTTTTTCACTGGTAATGTGCTTGAAAATTATTTAAAAGTAAGCAAACAAAAACATCAAAAAATAAGAGATATATAGTGCCTAAACAAGATGTGCTTTTCATATTTGTGAATAAGGCAGGATGCATATGAACAGATTTAGCTCAGAATGGAATTTCTACACATTAGGAAAATGATCTTTTGATATGTTCATCTCCTTAGCAAACGCCTGGTACTGCCAAAGTGAATATTGCAAATATCAGGGTCTGGCTTCCACTACTAGAATCAGTATTTTAAAACAACTAGTTTCACTGTACTTTATTTTGACTGAGTTATGCCTAATTTGCCTTTCCTTTCAAAGTCATTGATAATCCAGTGCCTTCTGCCCAGAGTATACCTGCAGATATTCCTTTTGTGTTCTGTAAGATGTTGCACACCTGTGCCCTGTGAACATGGATAATATGAATTAATCACTAGGAGAATGGTGTGTATTCCGTAAACTGAGAAAATTAAGTCCCTAATTTTGGAAATTTGAAATTTATCAAATCCCTCTCAAAGCCATGGAGCTACTATACATTGAGTGTATAATATTATCTGTTTTGTTAAGTAGGTAATATATAACTGCAAATATTTTAAGTTTTATGTATAATTCCCTCTATATATCTGGCCAACCTGGTGCCTTCTTATTCAAAACCATGTGACTCTAGATTTTACAGTGGTTATTGTGATTTATAATAAGAAATAGTCATGCATAGCTTAACAACAAGGATATATTCTGAGAAATGGGTCATTGGATGATTCTATTCTCATGTGAACATCACAGATTGTACTTACACAAACCTAGATGGTATAGCCACCTATACACGTAGGCTATATACAGTACAGCCTATTGATCATAGGCTACAAAGCTGTGCAGCATGTCATAGTATTGAATACTGTAGGCAATTGTAATACAGTGATACGTATCTATGTATCTAAACACACCTGGATGTAAAAAAGGTAAAATAAAAATATGGCATAAAAGATAAAACATAGTACATCTGTACAGGACACTTACCATAAATGGAGGTTGCAGGACTGGAAGTTGCTCTGGGTGAGTCAGTGAGTGAGTGGTAAGTGATTATGAAGGCCTAGGACATTACCGTGCACTATGGTAGATTTTATAAGTACTGTACACTTGGGCTACACTAAATTTATAAAAAATATTTGTATTCAATAATAAGTTAACCTTAGTTTACTGTAACTTTTTAACTCTATAAACTTTTATTTTTTGATGCTTTTGATGCTTAAGAATTAGCTTAAAACACAAACACATTTCATAGCTGAACAAATACTTTTTCTTTATATCATTATTCTATAAGCTTTTTGTATTTTACCTTATTTTTTACTTTTTAAATTTTTTGTTAAAAATAAGATGCAAAACACACACATTAACCTAGGCCTCCACAGGGTCAGGATGATTAATATCACTGTCTTCCACCTCCACATCTTGTCCCACTGGAAGGTCTTCAGGGGCAGTAACAGAAACAGGAGTAGTGTTTCATATGACAACAATGCCTTCTATTTGAATTCCTCCTGAAGGACCTGCCTGTGGCTGTTTTGCAGTTAGATATATACATACATATATATGTTATAAATATGTATAGTTATACATATATGTGTATAACTGGAAGGAGTATACTCTAAAATAACAAGTATAGTGTAGGAGATGCATAAGCCAGTAACATAGTCATTTATAATCATTATCAAGTTGTATTATGTACTGCACATTATTGTACGTGCTATACTTTTATAAGACTGTCAATGCAGTAGGTTTCTTTACACCAGTATCAACACCAGCATGTGAGTAATGAATTTCACTATGATGTTACACTAGCTAAGATGTCACTTGGCTATGGAATTTTTCAGCTCCATTATAATCTTATGGATCCACTATCATGTATGTGGTTTATTGTTGATCAAAACATGATTATGCAAGACATGACTATATATTTTGGCCTTTGTCCCCTGTTCCTGGCATAGAGCTTCTAAAATCCTTTGTAATTTTCTAAGTGATAGGTGTGCTAGGAGCATACTTTCCTCAAATATTTTGCCTTTGACCCTGATTCTTGACACAGAGTTTTTAATCCTATGAGGTTTCCTTGGTGGTAGAAGCTTTTTGTGGAGTTATACATTGACAGCCACTTCTGTTTTTATAGAGAGAAATAAAATGTAGTAATGGGGAAGTAGATGGTAGTGTTTAGGAGGAGAATTTACTATCACTGTTCCTTGATTTTGTTACTCTTATTCCTCTAATTGAAATTCAGTAAGAAATGTTCATAGACAGAGAAATACAATTTGACATCTATCATGGAAAGTAGGAAAAAAATTTTTTCCAAACAGTTTTTGAAACATACACTTTCCACCAGCAAGGGAAAAACAACTCACTGTATTCCACCTGCTCTTCCATATGCTAATATCTTGTGTGAAAAAAGGTTTTTGTTTGTTTGTTTATTCTTTTGGAGAAATTATGATTAACAGCTAGATACATTGTTTATATCTTACATGGGTGGAATCAGAAAATAAGAGACTTGAAGCAATTTGACAAGAAGAAAATATTAAGCAAGAGGAAGATGTTCTGCTCCCAGTGCCAGAGAGTGTTAGAGGGGAAGCGAAAACTCAGGTCATCAGATTTCTGATATCCTGAGAATTCAAGATGCATGGCATAGAATTTCACATACACGAATACAAGAACAGAAAGAAAAAAGGAAAGATAATTATGCTATCATGGTAGGAAAGTCAAGAATCTAGCCAATGGTGTCATTTTAATTGCTTTATAAAGCTTTCCCACTTTTTAAAGCTGTTTCGGTAAATTTATTTCAGGTGGTCACCTACTGAAATATGGAGGCTTTTTTCTTTGCTCACCTTTGGAGATAGACTGGAGGAAATAAGTGTACAAAACTAACTGGTAGAAATCTATCACAGTAACATTAAAAAGATCTGTTTTTCAGTCACCTCTCTCTTCAGGGAAACATTACATATTTGTCAGTTATTATCTATCATTTCTTATCTCTGCTTATATATGTCTGCAGAACTGATCATATCAAATAAAAAGGGCTTTTGTAATTAAGAGTGCTTTCCTTCCATGATAGATTTCAATTTACTCTTTTTGTCAACAATAACAAAAAAGATATTTTAAAATAAAAGACCTTGTTTTAGAAGCTTTTAAATTTTTCAGATAAACATTATCCATCATTAATAAACCATTGTAATTCCATTATCTAGCATTTAATTTAGTGTTTACTCATAAATGATAGCTGTAACGCATGATGACATATCACAGCCTGGGATGAAAACACGCGGCTTTGGATTTCTCATTTGATTTTACTCCTCATTTTTTTAGCAGGGATTGCTCTTGAAGTTTTAAATGTTGTGGATGAGGAAGGCAAGGAATGACTAGGTTAATATCTAATTATAATGAAAATATGGGAGTTCTATTATCTCTTCTATCATTAGCTATTTTTAACTCAGTTACTGTAGGCAGTGACAAAGACATAAAATCTGTCAAGTGCCACTCTGTCTTCAGAAGAAAAATGCATACAAATAGGGTTTTTATTACATATCCTTGAATAAATTTGGAAAATTAAAAAATCTAGTATTAAATGTAAGTTATTATAATAAGTACTTCTGCATTAAATAATTGGAGCGAAAAACTGGATTCGTTTAAACATAGAATACAAGGGATTTGTGTAAAAGTTTTAAAGCTGGTGAAAGTTACTATCCCTTTAAACTTGTGGCTGATTCTTTTTCAAGATAACTTCTTATTGTGCACTTCTTATTTTCTGGCTGGTTAGCGTGTGATTAATGTAGTCTCGTCATTTTGTCATCAAGCCAGGGATCTATATGCAGGAGGGTTGGGTATTCCCCTAAAAGATGCTGTTGCTATCATCTTGATGTCTACTTGAAGAGAGTTTTCCTCAAAACTGAAAATCCTATACAATGTAGAATTGGCATTGTCTCACAGGTACAAATGGGCATATAGAAACAGTTTATATGAGGTTTTTTCTTTTGTCCTTGCTTTTTAATTTGCTTTTTTTTCTTCTAGAAATAATCTCCAGTTTTTCCTTGGTATTCTCAGCCAAGAAAATTTGCCATAGAGCATCAGAATAATCAATGTCATGTCAAATAAATTTTATAAGATTTTTTCAATTAAATTAACCATCAAGGAAAAATGATAGACAGATAGATAGATAGATAGATAGATAGATAGATAGATAGATAGATAATAGACAGATGGTAAATAGAGAGGCTGTTCCCTCCATATAATGAGGTTTTTGAGAGGGGAAAGAAGGCCTGTGACCCTTGAGGACACTGAAAACTCTTGTGAACTTGCTGTATTAATGAAATAATGTATTTTGAGGAAGAATTATTGTGAGCAAATACAAAACTATAATATATCTCCCTTTCAGATACCCATCTCCCCAAAAAAGGAAGACCTGGCAGTCTAATTTGTGTTTTTGACCTAGCTTGTCTGAATCCGGGTAATTGTCTTGTTCATTAATACCTGACCAATTTTTAATAATAGAATCTCTTATTCTATCTCAAAGGCTTCCCTTCTTTCAATATTTCCTGAATTATTTCCTATTCCTTTCTCCCTTCAAAGTTGAGTTTTAAATATAACCAATCTCTTTGTGAGGATGGAGTTATGAATTGATAATTAGATGTTTCGTGTATATGAGCAAGAAAAATCAGAAAAAGAAATTTGAAGAGACAGAGAGAGTGGGGAGGAGAGAGAAGGAGAAAGCAGATACTGATAAAAAGTAGACAGTATAATTATTATCAATCTCCAGTGATAATGGAGAGCCAATGGCATCCTTAGTTTCTCAGAACATTCCAGTGGCTGGTACTCACCTGTCTTATCACTGACTAAGCTTTAAGAGATGATACTATATCTTCTATTCACATTTTTTGCTTATTCTTGACCAAGTGAACATCAGAAAAAAACTTCAATAATCAAAGTATTATTTATTTATTCTACATGATTCAATAAGAAATATAAGTAATATAGTTTTATGGTTATGATAATGTTTTATAGTCTTGTAATGTGTTACTATGGAGGGAGACTTTATGAATGGTACACAGGAACTCTGTGTTATTTCTATACTTTTATTGTGAGTTGCTAACTACCTCAACATAAAAGTTAAAAGAATGACCTAGGCACCCAAACCTTGGTTTCTAATACCATTGTCCATTGAAAGGATGCAGAACTCCCTAGATAAATGGCTGATTCGAGGATTGGAATAGGAAATAAACAAAATGACTGGAGCCTCTCATAGAAATAAAACAAAATGCTCAAAAATTCCAAAAACATGGGGCTCGGTTAAATGGATACAGAAGTCAGCTGAAATTCCAGAGCCCCAAACTGGGACAATTTGAACAATACAACAAATAAAACAGTATTGGATTATAATTTGAAGTATAAAATAAATATCCATGAGTCTATACTTATAAATAACCAAATAACTAAATGAGGGTGAATAGACAAATCTTATACACTGAAAAATTACAAATAATATATATAGGTACTTCATCCTCAACATGATGGAGCATAATTCCCCACTCCATTAGTGTGAGCTACTCACATTGATTTCCTTCAAAAGAATACAGTACTAAAAAGTAGGAAAATACTAAGCTTAGAATGGAAAATCCTAATAAACACTGTTTTAGCCAGGTGATCAACAATAGCATCAATAGTTATAAGTCATATTGATAGTGATGCAGGACAGGTGAGCCTCAAAATTAGGGCTTAGCCTGGGAGGGTTCTTGACTGTGCCCAGGAAAGAATTCAAGGGTGAGCCATTGGTACTGGAAAGCAACTTTTATGAAAGCTGCAGTGTACAGCAGCAACAGATGTACCAATCCTTGCATAACAGGGTTACCCCATGGGCAGTGTGCCCAGAGTAGCATCATGTGGGCTGTTGGCAGCTATATTTATACCAACTTTAATTACATGCTAATTAAGAGACAGGTCATTTAGAACTTTCTAGAAAAGGGGCAGAGTTCCTGGAACCATATAAGGTAACTTCTGGACCACTGCCATGTCCTGTTGCAATGGCATTTGTAAACTATTATGGTGCCAGACAGAGTGTCTATGCTAATGAGCAGTAAGGGCAACTAGAGGTTATTTTTCCTTGCTGTCTGCTGGTTTGGGCTGGTTTCCTCACTATACCCTGTTTAGACCAGATACTGCTCTGATCAGGGGGGTCACAAATGGGGCCGTGACCAGTGCTTGGAAAACAAGTCCTGTTGATCTCCCACCTCAATAGTATGTACCCTTAATATGATGTCATGAAAATGACCCTTCACAGCTGAGGTCTTCCTCCCAAAAACCGAACTCCAGTTTAATCATGAGAGAAACATCAGACAAATTTGAATTGAAGAATGCTCTACAAAGTACTTGATGAGTAAACTTCAAGACTGTTTTTCAAAAAACAGGGCATTATGAGAAATTTTCACAGCAAACAGCCCAAGATAATACGGTGACTAAATGTAATGTACCCTAGATGGTATCCTGGAAGATAAAAAGGGCATTAAGCAAACACTAAAAAAATAAATAACATGTAGACTTTAATTCATAATCATTTAAAAATATTGTTTTATTAATAATGACTATGCTACTACATTTGTGTGAGATGTTTGTTAAAGAAAATCCAGATGTGGGGTGAAAGGAAACTCTTTGTATAATCTTCACTTTTTCCGTAATTCTACTACTATTCTAAAACTAAAATTTTACAAAACAGTGCCAAAAAATGTGCTGACAGTGTTTCACCCAGATTAATTTAGTTAATTTTATAGATCCATTTGTTGAATAAACCAAACCATCTTTAGACTTTACATACACACACACACACACACACACACAGAATGAGAGAGGAGGAGAGAGACAGAGAGGGAGACAGAGAGATAAATATTTACGTAAAATTTGTTTGGGTACAACCTTTATTTTTATTATAATATCTATGCACTGATATGGCATTTTTATTTTTGTAAGTTTACTATACATTTTACCATCTGATTTATACCTCAGTTTTCTTATTTGTAAAATCAGGATATTATAGACTCACTGGATTGCAGTGAGATATAATCAAATTATATTTATAAGGCATTAGCTGACATTTCTGGCCACAAAATAAATTGGAAATGAATATCTAAATTTAACTTTCCTGCAGTGGACTACATATCATGATTGCAATGCATATTCTCTAGAAAAACTGGTATTAAATTAATAATATACCTAAAGTATCTGAAAATCAAGGAAATCAATCCAGATGGATTGTTTGTATCATTTTTAATTTGGTTTCACATTGGGTAAATAAATATTTCGTATCTGTAGCAGATTGTATTTTGTAAAGATAGTCAACAATATCTCCCATTCCACTTGATCTTCTGCAGTGTGACCTTGCCATTTTCCCTTCAAGAGACAATGTCTCATTCCTCTCTTCTTGAGTCTAGGCTGGAGAGAGTGCCTTTTCTGTAACAGATAGAATGTGCCAGATGTGATCCTGTGTGACTTTTAGGTTGACTCAGAGAAGACCATGCAGCTTCCACCTTGCTCTTGGCTACAGCCTTTCCTTGGGGGATGTTTTCTCTTAGGATCCAGACACAGGGAAATACAAGTCACACACAAAAAAGCCATGTGTAGGTGCTTTGGTTGACAATACTAAACGTTGGCAACCTAAACGTCGCGTTCTTCCATCCCAGTTACCAGACATATGACAGACATATGAATGAATACACCTTTAGATAATTTCAGCCCACACCTGCTTGAGTCAACACAACATTCTGAGTTTTTCTAACTGAAGCTCCAGATATAGTGGAGAGGAGAGACTAGTCATCCCTGTTGTACCATCTAAAATCCTCACCACAGAATCTGTGGTTATTGTTAAGCCACTTAATTTAAGATGGTTTATTATGCAGCAATTAATACCCATATCACTCTTCTGATATTTTTTCAGGTCATAAATGTCTCCCAGTAAAGTTTGGTAGATTTTGTTTGTATTTGTTTTGTTTTGTTTTGTTTCATTTTATTTTATTCACTTTATATTTCTCATTGGGAAAACCCAAGCGTATTTTGTTAGGCATTAGAATATTTTCTTCTGTTATGTATGTGAAATATTTGT
Source organism: Homo sapiens (assembly GCF_000001405.40). Taxonomy (NCBI): domain Eukaryota; kingdom Metazoa; phylum Chordata; class Mammalia; order Primates; family Hominidae; genus Homo; species Homo sapiens. Next base: position 37,720,823 of record NC_000011.10, read on the forward strand.
TTCCATTTTGTCTTCTGATTGGGCTATTCATTCTTTATTTGATTTTTATATATGTTACTAATATCTGTCTCATATTTTAAAAATTTTTTATATAAATTTTAAGTTGATTATCTGAGTTTTCTAATTATATAATTATATCATCTACAAATAATAATGGTATGCTTTTATCACAAAAATTATCCTTCTTTTTTATATCAAGTGATCTTAATGGATCCACATTTCTAGAATAATATTTAACAATATTGTTGACAATTTGTATTTTTGCTTTATTTGGAATTTTAACTAGAATGGACACAAAATTTGCACATAAATACACATGAATTATATGCCAATTCTTGTCTGCCAACAGTAGAAATTAACTCTGGATAAATAAAACAGGAAAATATTGTATTGGAAATATTTTGATTAGTTTACATAATCGACATAAAGGTTGAAACTATGATAAAATTTATATTAAGAGCAGGCCGTAGTCAGCAAGGTTGCTAGCTGCACCACATTTATTGCCTCTGAAGGCCAGAGAACAGCACACTCTCAACATCTTATATAAATGCTGCACTTCAGTCACTTGATCATAGGAGCTGTCCTTTTAGTATCTATGTATCACTCTCAAATTAAATGATCATGCCCAGGGTGTTATAGAAGGGTAGATTATATTACCCAGAGCCCAAACCAGTAGCCTAGGAATTTGTGCTGAATTTCTAGTAAACACTGAGTTTAAACGTTGTAATATAGACAAGAAAAAATGCATTCAGGCCCTACAATTCTCTTGAATGAAACACAACTATTATACATTTTCTCCGTAAGTTCTCAAACACAATGGGATACAATTTTATCTTCTGGATCTCTACTATGAATCATCATGAGCTCAGAATGATCCTAGGCAGAATTTTTCATATCTCTTTACTATTAGCATGAGCATGGAGTCATTTATTTTTCTGATTTTGATATCTGGCTGCTTGTATTGCTGATCTTTCCTTCTGGTTCAGGCAAGATAAAAGCACACAACCAATTTCTCATTATTGGTCTGAGAAGGTAGCCCAACTGACCACACTGAGTAACTAAATAATTTCCCTCACCTACTTTATTATTTATTCCAATCTCATTTTCCTTTTTCAACTTTAGTATGCTGGCTTTTTGGTAGTCCTCAATATTTAAAAATGACTCACTGAATTTCAGGTAGCCTTGATTGTCTCTAAGTAAAAATATCTGGAGAGTGGGTGAGACAAGGAGAGGAAAAAGAAATCCAAGAATTGATATTTCTCATAATTTTATTATGCTCAGATGTTTGTCCCTTGGAACCAAAAGAAAACCATAACAGATCTTTATAATTCTCCCATCTCCTACAACAGGCACCCTAGAAATTATTATAACAATTTGGAATATTGGTATTTGGCAAAGCATTCCTAGATATTACAGCTGAAATAAAAGAATGGGGAGATAGCGCCACCATCAACAAATGCCAAAAAGTGAATAAGTTTATTTAGGGGAAAGGGGTGAGACCAAACCTGGGGAAATTTTGCAGGTATGCACCTATTGATTGAAATATTCTTAAAGGCGAACTATCAAAAAGAGTTCTAGTTTCTTCCTTCGCTCTCTCATTATTGCCTCTCTCTGTTTTCTAGGTAATGATTCACAATGTGTCTGTCTTCCTTTTTAATGTCATTCATTAATATAGTATAGTTTTCTTCATATAATCAATGTGTGTGTGTGTGTGTGTGTGAGTGTGTGTGTGTGTGTGTGTGTGTGTGTGTGTGTAGCTTTCTTCCTAGAAATTTTATTATTTCATTGCTCCTAAAATGCTGTTTTTATTTGATGATATACTATATGGTATGGCACAGAAACACTATAGCTATTTATTTTTATTTTATTTTATATTTATTTTGTTACTACTCATATTGCTAAATACATTTACTGGAGATTTAAAACTGTTTCAAAACATATTCATTAGACTTTCAATTTGATAATAAGTATTCTATAAATAATAGTTACTTAAATCTTAGAAATACTTTTCTTATCTTATTTAATTGTCAAGGAATACTCCCAGATTTGTTAAATAGTGATATTATGAATGCCTTATTTTCCCTCATATTGATAAAAATTCATCTAGTTTATTTCACTATTAAATACAATATTGTTATTTGTCCAAAATACCAGTTATCTTAGCTTGCAATATGTTTGCATTCTAACAGCACTCTTAAAGATCCCTTTCATTATCCCTTTCATTACCCTCCTTCCATTATTCCAACTACTCATAATTGTATCACCAACTTGGCATATTGCTATGCTTGTTAACTGACTGAATTAATAAAGAAAAAGAAGAGATAAAATCTAATCAATGACTATGAGTTGTTCTTGGAAAGGACTGACCTTAACAGGGTTTGTAGCTTAAGTATATTAATTAGGGTAAAACATCCTAGACATTGGAAATTCTCTTACAGATAGTCTTAGTTTTCACAAGTTTTATGGTTAATACTCTGCAGTGTTTTCTTAAGTATTTCAAAAGAAAGTCCAGTGAGGACAACTAGCTATTTGCCATCACAAATTAAATGAAAACTTTTGCCCATAGGAAAGGAAAACATAAAAGGAAGCAAAAACCTTACATAGTATTTCTTTTTAATTCTCCTAATGATTTATCTTGCCAAATATAAATTCATACAATCCACTCTACACTACACTTAAAATCACTGATTTTTCTGTTTAATATACTCTCTGCTGACCAACAATTATGTGTCTGTGACAAGGTTAGGAGCCAAGCATGCAAGGATATATATGAGTGAATCTTTGCCCAAATTTAAAGATACTGTACTTTAGACGTAAGATACTTATGAGAAGAGTCTTTAGGTAATAGAGAACTAGTTATCCTTGTTTATATGCATATGACATAACTTGCATATGCAGGCCATTCTGTTCTTCAAAATATTGGGACTCAGATTCCACAAAGTCTTTTTTCTGTCTCTCCCTCTCTCTCTCTCTATCTCTCTTTTTTTTTCCAATTTGAGGATCTTCGTTCAATGAAATTTAAAATTGACTTAGAACATATTGCTCATTGATCCTAAAACTTTGTATCTCGTTGAGAGTGTAATACAGCTCAGATATAAATTAAATTGTAGTGTTTTAATTGTTACTGAAAGTGACATGCCCTACATCTTTCTTCTTGACCTTTGTGCAATAATAAAATATCCTATCTCTCTGGCACTTTTGTTTTCATAGTTTTCTCTTCCTTTAGCTCCTTAGGGCACTTTTCCAGACCACCTCAAGATTCCAAATAGAATTGTGTGATTTAGGAATAATAGCACCCGACAGCAGTAGAGAAAAGATCTTTCTTAAAGAATTTATGGATTTTTCAGAATGCTATCTGGGATGCCACCTCTGCCCACATCACTGATTCATGAGTTCATCTTTGGCAAGACAGCAACAGAATTACTTTTCTAGGGAGAACAGATAACTTATTGGAGGAGAAGAGGGTCAGCCTGTCACTGGGTGAATATCATACAACATAAAGCCCAAATGCTATAGCACCATAAAAAGTCATCAAGTATTTTACAAAATGAAGTTCTTGCTGCTGGGATCCCATCAGGCAGCAATTTTTGCTCTGATTACCTAAAGTCCCTTCATCTGTCTCTCAGCATTCCACTGCCTGTAGCTTATCAGTTTTCCTCTAAAGGGGATTTAATGTTCTGTCAATTTCCATATTGTTTCTGGCACTGTTGTGTGCGGATAGGATCTTAAAATAAACAAAAAATCTGAACAACTAAAGCAACGTCAATCCGTCTTTGCCTCTGCCAAATTTCCTAAGGTTTGTAAACCCTTCCAGCAATTGATAACATTAGAACATATTCAGATCTCTGTTTCTGTCTCATACTTATCGAAATCTTATTTACACTTTTAAAAACATAGTTTTTTTTTTTTTGTTTAGCAGTTGGGTCACATGTAGCAAAAATTTTTCCTGACATTTGTATTTTTACTCCATGATTGAGTCTTGACACATCAGCTCATTTGTGAGATCTGAGATCTAAAGTACTCCAAATCAACTCAAAATGGGTTAAAGACCTAAGAGTATGACCTGAAACCATAAAACTTCTTGAAGAAAACACACAGGAAAAGCTCCTTGACGTTGGCTCCTTGACAGACAATGGTGTTTTGGATATCACACCAAAAGCTCAGGCGACAACAGAAAAAAAGAAAATCAAAACAAGCGGTTTTACATCAAACTGAAAATCTTCTGCACAGCAAAGGAAGCAATCATAAAATGAAAAGGCAACCAACTTATGGACGGAAGGAAATATTTGCAAACCAGATATCTGATAAAGGGTTAATATCCAAACTATATAAGAAGCACAGTTCAATAGCAAAAAAATACATAAATTAAAAATGAGCAAAAGACCTAAATAGACATATTTACAAAGAAGACATAAAACATGGCCAAGAGGTATATGAAAGGATATTAAATATCTCTAATCATCAGGTACATGTAAATCAAAACCTCAAGGAAATATCATCCCATACCTGTTATGATGACTATCATCAAAAAGATAAGAGATAATTATTGGTGAAAGTGGAGAAAAGACAATCCTTGTACATCACTGGCAAAATGTAAATTCATACAGCCCTTATTAAAAATAGTATGAAGTTTCCTTAAAAAAATTAAAAACAGAACTACCAGCAATCTCCCTTCTGAATATACACCCAAGGAAATGAAATCAGTACTTCAAAGAGGTATCTGCATTCCTATGATCATTGCAATATTATTCACCATAGCTGAGGTATAGAGACAACCTAAGTGCCCATCAACAGATAAAGGGACAAAGAATATATGGTATAGTCTCTCCTTCAGTCGCTCAAGATGCCAATAGGAAAGAAGGGCAAGGAAAAGAAGGGGATTCCAGCTCCTGCTGTTGTGAAGAAGCAGCAGACCAAGAAGGTGGTAAATCTCCTCTTAGAGAAAAGACCTAAGAATTTTGGCCTTGGACGGGACAACCTGCCCAAAAGGGACCTTACCCACCTTGTCATATGGCACTGCTATGTCCAGTTGCCCTGGAAAAGGGCTACTTTCTAAATGAGGTTGAAAGTGGCTCTTGCAATTAACCAGTTCACCCAGGCCTTGAGCTGCTAAACAAGGGCTCAACTGCTTAAGCTGGCCCACAAGTACAGACCAGACACAAAGCATGAGAACAAGCAGAGGTTGTTAGTTCAGGCTGAAAAGAAAGCTGCTGGTAAACAGGATGTCCCACTAAGAGACCTCCTATTCTTGAAGCAGAGATTGGCACTGACACCACTTTGGTGGAGAACAAGAAGGCTCAGCTGGTGGTGACTGCATATGACACAGATCCCACAGAGCTGGATGTATCTGCCCTGTGTCAGAAGATGGGTGGTTCCATTGCATTAACTATGGGAAGGCCAGACTGGACTCTAGTACACAGAAAGACCTGCACTACCATTGCCTTCACACACAGGTTACCTCGAAAGAAAAAGGAGCTCTGGCTAAACTGGTGGAAGCTATCATGACCGATGACAAGGACAGATATGATGAAGTATCATCCTCTCTGGGAAGGAAATATCCTGGGTACAAAATCTGTGGCTTGCATTGCCAACCTGGAAATGGCAAAGGCTAAAGAACTTGCCACCGAACTGGGTGAAATGTATGCTATTGAGTTTTATGCTCATAAAACAAGAAAAATTCTTTTCTTAAAATGTGATATGCATACACACATAAATGTGAATACTATTTAGCCTTTAAAAAGAAGAAAATCCTGCCATTTGCAACAACATGGATGAACAAGGGGGACATTATGCTAAGTGAAATAATCCAGAAACAGAAAGAAATATACTGCATGAAGAACCTTAAAAAGTCAAATTCATAGAGCTAGAGAGTAGCATAGTGGTTGCCAGGACTAGAGAGGTGGGGGAAATTGGAAAATGTTGGTTAAAAAGGTACAAAGTTTCAATCATGTAGGATGAATAATTCTAAACATCTGAAGTACAGCATGCTGACTATGGTTAATTAAACTATTTTACACTAGAAATTTGCTAGAAGAGTAGATTACAAGTGCTCTCATTACACACACACACACACACACACACACACCAGGAGATATACACACACACATATGTATATATAATTTTGTTCACTGTAGTAATCATTTCACTGTGTATACATATATCAAAACATCATGTGCATCTTAAATACATACATTTTAAAATAAAATAATAAAGTAACAAAAAAGGAAAAGAAAATACACTTCTAAGAGTAATGGATTACTAATATAAAAATGAAAGAGTTTGTTATTTTTTATAAAGTATAGAGGAGGGAAATCTTTTCCTCTATCTTCTGAGGATTTGATAACTGACCCCATCAGATAAACTGAGAGTAGGCAGATTAACAGGCAAAAATGTATACAAATATGTGCACAGGGACATCACAGAAAAGAAAAGTGAACATTCAAAAACCCAGTGAGATCTGGAAGCTTAAACACCCTCTTTATAGGGGAGAGGGGAGGAGAAATATCAGTAATTTAAGGGAGAGTGAACGATCTCAGAGAAAGATAAATGAGCCCCCAGAAAAAAATAGATGATAGCCTGTGAGAAATTCTGTCTGGGGATGGTGCTGACCTCCAGTCTTCCCTCTTATGGTCTGAATTAATCTTTGCTGGTTGATGCGATTCCTGAGCAGGAGATTGATAATAACTTACTTCTCTTTAGAGGACACATCATTAGGCAAATAAAGGAAGTTCAGAGAAAGGCCCTCTCTGTGTTGGCTGTTTTCCAGGCACGCTCAGTTTAAGTAATCAGTGTACCACAGCAGCATATCTTGGGGTGGCATTTCCAGAACCCCTTTCAATAAAATGAGAACATATTGGCAATCAAAGAAAACAATTATTATTAAGGTAGAATAGATATTACTTAATGAGAAACTTCTAGGACTTTGCAACCAAAAGAGCAGTCAAAGGACCATGAAGGAACTTCTTAGAAATGCAGACTCTTGGGCCCCACTTTGCACATACTGAATCAAAAATCAACATTTTGCCAAAATTCCCTGGTGGTTTGAATGCATAAAGAAGTTTAAGAAATACTCTTCTACAAACCATACTAGACTGTAGCTATTTTGTTTTATACAATCATCAAAGCAGTACTTCTATGTAAACAAATTATTATTATTATTATTATTATTATTATTATTAGACTTTAAGTTCTGGGATGCATGTGCAGAACGTGCAGTTTTGTTACATAGTTATACAGGTGCCAGGGTCGTTTGTTGCACCCATCAACCTGTCATCTACATTAGATATTTCTCCTAATGCCATCCCTCTCCTAGCCCCTCACCTCGTGACAGGCCCTGGTGTGTGATGTTCCCCTTCCTGTGTCCATGTGTTCTCATTGTTCAGCTCCCACTTATAAGTGAGAACATGTGGTGTTTGGTTTTCTGTTCCTGTGTTAGTTTGCTGAGAATGATGGTTTCCAGCTTCATTCATGTCCCTGCAAAGCACATGATCTCATTCTTTTTATGGCTGCATAGTATTCCTTGTTGTATATGTGCCACATTTTCTTTACTCAGTCTATCATTGATGGGCATTTGGGTTGGTTCCAAGTCTTTGCTATTGTTAACAGTGTTGCAATAAACATATGTGTCTTTATTGTAGAATGATTTATAATCATTTTGGTATATACCCAGTAATGGGAATCCTGGGTCAAATGGTATTCCTAGTTCTAGATCCTTGAGGAATCGCCACACTGTCTTCCACAGTGGTTGAACTAATGTACACTCCCACCAACCATGTAAAAGTGTTCTTATTTCTTCACATCATCTCATACCATTGTGAAGATAAGAAATGTGGTTCCCAGAAAATTTAAGTACCTTTCTCAAGGTCATGCAGTGAGTAAATTAAAAGGAAATGTGAAAGAGGGATTGTCAGAATTGTGAACCCAAGTATATCTGATTCAAAAGCCTGTGCAAAGAACCTGTTCTTCATTTTTAAAAAATACAGTAACCCCTTTTAAATCTGACCTAAGTTCTCTCAGCATTTTTGGATGTCTTTGAAATACTAATCTGAATTTTATATAACATACCTGGAAAAAATGAGAAGTTTTCTACTTCCTCAAAGAACTAAAATTTTGGTAAGGAGGTAATATAACGTAAAGCTAATGGCACTGGCCCTAAAACATTTGTACAGAATTTAGAACATCCATGTCTTATACACTCATCTTAGGTGTGTAAATATGATTTCATGCTGTAATTTACTTACTACATAAGGCAATAGTAATGACAGTAGTTTTCCTAAAATACTGTGGTAAGATCTAAAGTAAACTAAATAATTATTCCAATAATGAAATTAAATAAGTACATGGGGAAAATATGAAAATATTAATGCTGGGCAAAGCATCTTTTAATTTCTTTGTAAAGATTAGAAAAATGCTTCAGAACTTATACCCTGTTACTATATCCTGAGGTCTGAAACACAGTGAACTCTTTTAAAATGAATAAAATAATAAAATATTTCAGAAATTAGACAAGAAAAATTTATATGCAAAACTTTATACACAATAATTATGATGATTTTTAAGACTTGACAGAAAACTACATGTATGCTCTTGCCGGTACCACTCAATATAAGAGTGGAATATTAATGCAGGAACTATATATTACAAATGAACAATCAGATGTGATCTGACATAGAATTTTAGTAAAATAACTAGGTAAGAGCTATAGCTTGAATGTGAGAGTGTTTTAATTTCCCAGACACCTTGGGGTGGTTTATTGGGACAACAAAAGAACTCTCAGAAATAAGACACACATGTTTTCTTCTTCTGTAAGCTATTTCCCATAAAAAGCTCCAGGGCTAGTCATAAAACAGTCTTAAAAATAATGAGCTAAAGGGGATTCAGTGTAGATTTAATGATTTTTCAATCTCTTATGACAAGAAAAGATGAATGAATCTTTAGTTTTAAATACTTGTCTTTCAGACTTTTTTTGTTTATAAGACATGACCATAAATTTAATCTTTCCACAATAAAGAATAGTTTCATCTTAGTATGTCATATGTAAATAAAACATTTTTCATTCTTTTTCTTTTTCTGATGATAAATGGAAAGATTTTTTTTCTTTGATGAGCAGTCTTTATCAGTGACTTCTATTTCAAAGTCATTTATAGAAATCTATTGAAGCAGATGATCAAAGAATCTATTGAACTTGCTTTCAGGGATGTCTGTGAGAAGCATCATTGTGTAACAATAACATTATATTATTTACACACTTAATTCAATTAAAAGGAGACTGTTTTAATTCTTAGTTTAGGCTGAAGTTCCATAATTAAACTGAATTAGGTATCAATATCCGTATTTTATAGGAGAAATATTTTACTGCCTATGGAGGACTTGCCATCAGGGTGGCCTTTGGCTTTCTGGGCCTCTCAACCATTAAGCAGACTTAAGCCAAACATAGTGGTAGGGCTGGGCAACACTGATTGTGAAGGGATTCATGTTGAGGACTTCTTGGGAGTGTGTTATTGAATAACTGTCTAGCTCTTCTCCCTTGTCCAACAGGATAGGAGCAGGTACACTGGCCATTTTAAGCCAAGTGAAGGTGCCTTCAACACAACCACTTAGAAAGGTTCTCATGTGTTATCTGAAGTTTGCAGAAGAGAAAATGAGTATATGCCTCTTACCTAGAAAAGTCTAAGGGAGTAAAGCTGATTGAGACTGAATTGCATGCCCACGGATAGGACCAGAGATTTGTATTTTCTGTGTCCAGAATGGGCAGAGTCAGTCCCACAAAAGGGGACTAAAGATGCAGCCTCATGGCTGAGAACCTCACCCTCTTGAAGAGTTCTGCTTTGAGACTCCAACTGAAAGAATCTTCATGAAATGTAGGGAGAAGAAACAAGCATGGGATGGGAGAGTCATATGTTATGCTAAAATATCATTTCAAACAATTCAGTTTCAAATCCATTTTAAAGTACTAAAGACCCATAGAGAAATACCTCTACTAGGCTCCTTCAAAAATTCACTCTTGGTGGCACTACTTAATAAGAAAAAGGGAATTGTAAGAGAATAAGTGTTTAAAACAAAAAGAACAGAGTATTTGGTAAAATCATTAGAGTTGAATGACAATCTACTGATATTTATTGACATTCATGGAAGTAAGTAAAGAATGTGCCAGAACAAGCATTAATTCAATTAAAGTTAGTCAAGAAGTGGCTGAAGCATTTTATTATGCATTCTAATTTACCCCAAAAGGAAGTGGAGTATTAAATCTTTCCCAGACAAGAACTGAGTATGGAACATTTTTCAAACGTTCCATCCAGAAATTATATCCTCCACACTAAGAAAGAGTGCAAAGAGAGAAGGAAGGAAGGAGAGAAAACAGTGTTCAGATGGTTGGATATAAAGAGTGATTATCAAAAGGGGGAAGTGGGTATGAATATTCTTAATATGCAAGCCTTGAGAGAAAGGACCAACATTTGGACATTTTTCAAAATCAAAGGACACTAACCAGATTAACTGTGTCTGCTATGTAGATCATTTTTTGCATCTTCCATATGACCCTTCCTTTGTGACGAGGCAGAACCAGAGACAACCCATTGGGTAGGAAGAGAAAGTAGAAATGGAGTAAATACACTAATGTTGAAAATATATATATTTTCTCTTTATGTCTTTTTTTCAGGCCTTAAAATCCAATAATCCAATTATACACATGAAAAGAGAGCACGGATAATTGCAATACTCAGAAGACCCAAAGCATATAATTTTCATGAAATATGGATATGTGATTAACCAATCATGCTTTTCAAAGTATTTATTTACTTCTTTTTCCTTGTCAGACACTTACATAGTTTTGTATATGCTAGGCAATTTTCTAAGCACTTTGAAAATGTTAACTTACTTAATGATTAGTGATTTTCATTACCTATCAAAATAAAATTCTAGGGGACATTTTCCTGACTACTTCTCTTATTATAAATTTACTGGAAAGAAATTAGAATAAAAGATTGTGGTAAACACACACGTGCGCGCGCGCGCGCGCGCACACACACACACACACACACACACACACACACACTCTTACTCAGCTAATGTCAGTATTTACATATTGAGTAATCATGAAAGGACCTTTGCAGAATCATTTAACTTATGCTTTGATTTAGGCTAATAGGCTGTTTTGTGAAGACCTAGGAAAGTGGAAGTTATGGTAGAAATTCACTTTTTAAAAATTTAATGCAAATAGCACATTGTTAAGATAAAATTATACTGGATGCTCATCAGACCCCTTTTAACACCTCTCTAAAATGCTAGTTGAATTTATGCATAGCTGGTTGCTGATAAGAGGCAAAACATCTATACATGTTGCACCTAGATGAACTTCTTCAGGAAAATCTTATGTAAAAATATCAAAATTTGAGATCTATTATTAAATCGCATAAATCGTGAAACTACTTAAACCTATAAGCTCAGCTCCAAGTTTCTTTGTAGAAACTGAAGTAAAGAAATAACCCTTTCTCTACTTATAAATTACTCTATTTTTAAGTCTAATTTCTCATTCATCTGAGTAGTACACTGTTCACTCTCATCTCAAGATATACAAAATAAAACTGGTTACAAAATTTAACGTGAGTGATTTATCTCAGTGAACTCTCAAAAATGGCAATTAAGTGAACATTTTCTGAATTTGTTTGTAACAGCTTAAAATATAATTGGCATATAGTAAACTATATGTATGCCAACTTTATAATTTGATAAAGGATGTGTGTCTGTTATGCATATATAATGTATAAATTTTCTTTATAGGTATATACATGTGTACATTTGAAATCATTACCCAATCAATGGAAAATGAACATAACCAACATCTGCAAAAGCTTCTTCTAGTTCTTTGATAATTCCTTTCTCCTATCTTTCCTGACCAGCTTCTTGTTCCCAGAAAAAAATGTTTTCTGTCACTATTGATTTTATTTCATGTTATTATTGATTTTCTTTTATTGATTACTAATATAGTTTGATGTCCCCTACAAATCTCATGTTGAGATGTAATCCCCAGTATTGGAGATGGGATCTGGTGGGAGGTGATTATATCATGGGTGCAGATTTCTCCTAAATGGTTAGCACCATCCTCTTGGTGATGTCCTCACAATAGTGAATGATTTCACGTGAGATCTGGTTGTTTAAAAGTGTGTGGCACCTCTCCCCCTCTCTCTTCCTCCCTATCTTGCCACGTGATATGCCTGTTTCTGCCGTTTCTTCTGCCATAAATAAAAGCTCCCTGAGGTCTCCCCAGAAGTTAGGCAGATGCCAGCACCATGATTGTACAGGCTGCAGAACTGTGAGTCAATTAAACCTCTTTTGTTTATAAATTACTCGGTCTCAGGTATTTCTTTATAGTAGGAAAAGGATGGCCTAACACAGTTGCATTTCCTAAGATATTATGTAAGTAGACTCATACAGTGTGCACTCTTATTCTCTAGCTTCTTGCATTTGGCATAATTATTATTTTGAGGTTCAGTCATGGTTTTGTGTGTAACAATAGTTCATCTTTTCTTTGTACACTTCTAAAAATTGAGGTAAAATATACATATAATTTATTCTTTTGTATTGCTAAAATTGTTGTATTCAATAAACCAGATTCAATTTACCAGAATTTGTTTATTAGTTCACTTGTGGATAGACACATACGTTATTTCCAGTCAGGGGCTGCTACAAAAAACAAAATATAAAACCGGGGTTATTTGTGTACTGGCCTTTGTATGAAGGTATGCATTTATTTTTCCTGCACAAATAATCAGGAGTGAAATGGATACTTAAAATAGTCAGTACATGTTTATTTTTAACTTTTACATTATTACCTTCATTTTCATAAAGAGATAGGTTTTTATTATTTAACAAATGCATAGCACATACTACCTAACAAATACTATTGTAAACGTTTTACAGTATGTGTACTAATATTAACTCATTTAATTCTGTGTGATAGGCAACATTAATACCAACCCAATTTATATGGATGGGTAAACTGAGTAACAAAATTTAAGCAACTTGCTCAAAATCACTTTGTGAGCAAAAGCCAACAGAATACAAAATTCGAATCCAAATAAGGGCACTATGCTCAAACTCATCCTCTCAACCGCCACATGTGGAGCCTCTCCAGGACAGCAAGTTTCCAACTCTGGTTCTCAGATGTGTACCAAGGGGTTTTCACTATTCCATAAGAAAGTGAAAAACAAAAAGATTAAAAAGTGAAACTTTTATAAAGTCAAATATATTATAAAGTACTATCCTTTTATTTTATGTGGATTACATCTGTCCTGTATTTATTTCCAGATAATTTCTTTTTTGTTGATTTTTCCAAACAACACCCAGCGTTGAGCCAAGAGTATAAGGAACATCCATATATCCCCCAGCCAGACACAGCCATTGTTAACCTTCCGTCATATTTGCTTAAAGAGATTCTGTTTTATGGGTTCAGCCATTTGAATGTGAGCTGACCAACAACATGGCAGTCAGCGTCAGTATATGTCAGCAGTTGTCTCCTAAGAATAAGGAAGTTATTTTTTCTAAACCAAATACCATTAACACATCTGAGAAAATTACTGACATTTACATCATATTATCAACTTGTACCCAAAATTTATTTTGTTTTTTTAAACTTCAAGATTTAACTTGCATGACATAATTTTTGCCATATTTTTAAAATGTAAAGTTCAGTGACATTTAGTATATTTACAGAATTACGTAATCATCATCACTATCTAATTATAGAATATTTCCATCACCTGAAAGAGAAACCTATTAGCAGTCACTCCTCATTCTCCCTTCCCCCAGCCCTTGACTAACATTAATCTACTTTGTCTGAATTTGCCTATTCTTGACATTTCCTATAAATGGATTCATACATTATGTAATTTTTGAGTGTGGCTTTTTTCACTTAGCGTGATGTTTTCGAGATTCATCCATGTTGTAGCTAGCATCAGTACTTTATTCTTTTTTATGTTCGAAAGAACATTTTCTATTATGTGGGTGGACTAATTTATTCATTAGTTTTTAGATATTTAGGTGGTTTCCACTTTTCAGCTATAATGAATAATGCTGCTATGAACATTCATGTACAAGTTTTTGTGTGAACATATGTCTGTGTGGACATATGTTTCATTTCTCATTGGGATATATCTAGATGTGGAATTGTTAGGTTATATGGCAATTCTATGTCTAACTTTTTGTATAATGTCTTCTATAGCTTTTTATTTTTTCTCTGAACCAAGAGAAATTTGAGGTTTATGCATCATCCTTGATTGCTTTTGTCCTTGGTTTCATTTAATCCAGAACAGTGCCTCAAACTTATTCTCCCCATAGCAATGACATTTTAAAGAATGAAGGTCACATTATCTTATAGAATGCCCTCTTAGATTTTTCTTATTGTTCCCTCATGGTGCATATAAATTTGTCCTCTATCCCTGTATTTCCTATAAGCTGAAAGTAAGTCTAGAAGATTTATTAGATTCATGGCAAAAATTGTTCTTACTTGATATGTATAATTTCTTACATTTTTTGTGCTAAAATGTTTTACATTTTATGAAATGAAGGTGAAAGTGATATTAAGATGTTGTTTTTTGCTTGTTTATTTCATATTGAAAATGGCCTCTATTAATACAATTATAAACATGACCATCTCAATGTAAACCACCTTACTAAGAACATTGCACAAATAGCAATAAAAACAAGCAAGAAACAAAAATCTGTCTCTGTTGTGCAAAATCTAAAAGATTAGGATCCACTAAACTAGGTAACTTATAAACCTTTGCAGCTGTGAGAAGTTATAAAGTTGATTCCCTAAAGCATAAGAAGAGAATAATTTTCTTTTATTGTCAAAGTTCTCTGAAATAAATAATAATACACATTTTCCTCCAGACTACAGGTAAGCATTCTCTTCTAATGAGAGCATCTATTGTAGGGACTTATGAAAATTAGGCCCTTAAATTTGATAATGTATTATTTGTTTATATTTAAAGACCTCATGCTTTACTGTCACTTTGGAGTATAATTGTTAACTTGTCAGCATTATAAAAATTGTATTTTTGCCTAACTTCATTCCTGCCTACTTTCTTCCTTAAAGACAGAAAAATCACCCTGCAGCAGGGCAGCTGTGTTGCACCCAGGAGCTCAAAAATTACGAAGACGATTCCATTCTGTTTAAAGTTTTCTACCACTTGTTTAGAATATTTTCTTTTGGTAACCGAAGCTTGTAAGATGTTGCTCTGATTCACAGCTTGTTGCAATCTTGCAAATAAATTCTTCTAAAGACTCAAGGCCCTCAAGTCTTGATCCCAAGACTCACCCCAGATCCCACGTCACAGTTGAGCACTCAGGCTCAACTCATCTCTTCATGTTGTCGACCCTGCATAACCTCAATCAGCTTTACGCTGCACTGTACAGGAACCATCACCATGTCCCTCACATGGAGTTCTATGTCCATCTTACAGGTGTTGAATATTCGGTGGAAGATGGTCTTCATTATTGAAGAGCTGAGAGTATGAGAAGAAATCTAACAACTTTGGGATCAGAGCATGGTTATGACAAAGCAATGCGTCAGAGGCAAAAGTTTCCATAGATTTGCAGATAGAAGCTTGGTTGTTTGACTGCCTAATGCAAGCTCAGGGATTCATTAGCTGAAGAAGTGATCTCAAAACCTTTACGTTCTTACATTTGTCAAAATAAGTATTATAACAATCAAACGTGAAAATTGTGTTATTTAGCAAGGAAATAATCACTCATTTAAAAACTAATTTGGCTAATCAGATGTACTCATTGGTTTTTAATCCATATAATCTGAAAACAAAAATTTAAATATTTTTTAATCAGAAAGTTTAAAAGTAGCTCCTCTGAATTGCTAATCTAACTCCTGACTATTTTATTTTAGCAACACTGCAACAATACTTCGTATAATGACATTTAACTTGCATATTTGCACAGATAATTTCAAAGTATATGCAATTTAATGAATCTACTACCTGGTATAAATAAGGAATAGAGGCAAAATAAACATTTGAATTTATAACTACTCTTAAATTTATCTAGAGCACATTTGAGATAGAAAGTTATGATATTTTGAAAAGCTAAATTAAGAGAATTGTTTTATAGCATTAGATCTTTTCGCATGGTCTTTAACAAATTTCAAGCTTTTGAAACTTTATATATATTTTAAGTTGCTTGTAGACGATCAAAAAGCCATTTCCTCTACTTAAAGAACATTGAAAATCATATCTTTCCTTCAAAAAACGTCATTATCTTGGAGAACATTTTCCAAATAAACTCTGCAATTTAAATTACAATTAAAAAATAACATGAACAATTAATTCACATATATTTCATTTTAGTGATAGATGATTCACCTAATATTGCCCGAAGTCTAGAATTCTAGAGTTAGAAGATTCTATAAAGTTTATGTAGTTCAACTCATTTACTTAATAGATGATAGAATAGAAGTTTGGAGATGGTAAATAGTTAAATGAAGTTCGCTCACCACTTGTGTACAAGAGTGACGGTTTGACTATAAAACACCTGTGTCTAGTGTGTGTACTCCTGACTTTATTTGCAATTAAAGTAGCACAATGTGTAACTCAATTTGTACTGAAGAATTGTCAAGCACGCACTCCTTTTCTTACAGAGCTATATATACCAACTACATTCCTAACAACAAGATTTTGTTCCATTTTATATCATCTCTGAATTTTCCACACTAACAGAGCCCACAGACTCTAACTGGGGACATGGTCATTTGAGATCAAGACTGCTTGCATTTCTGAATCTATCTTTTGCAGAACAGAAATAAGTCTGACCTCTGCCCAGTGAGATGCAAACAAAGCTTCAGGTGAGAATTTCTGGAAAGCATCCTTTAAGGGAGGTAGATATGTCTTTTCTCCACATTTTGCCTTCTGCTTCTGGGAGTTTCAGCAAGATAGCCAAAAATGAGCATCTTAGACAACTCAGTAAAGCTAAATTCTGAAGAAAAGAAAACAACACAACGGTAACGGCCTAGACAGCAAAAAACTTTGTGGAACTACCATGGACTTTTGTATCTACATAGTTTATGTCTAAATGGTCTTCTTTACAAATCATCTTTCAAAGATCAGATACTCCTGGGGAATGTAAAAACCTTTTGATTCTTGAAGTCTACAGCTGAGCTCATATGATAAAGTCACTTGCACAGCAGCCAAATAGATTTCATCAATACTTTATAGCAAAGATTCTCAACTGTTGTATCAGAAATGTCGATCAACTCAGTTATTAGAGTGCCCAAGTAGGTCCTGAGGCAGCCAGAGCTGTCAAGCGTATTGTTTTCTCTTTATCCCAAGATATGTCAAAGGTAACAGTATTATTTTCTATGTGCTCCATATTCTGAAAACTTTGAGAGAACACTGCATTATAAAGGCACAGACTTTTAGAAACCAGTTATTTAACCCCCTCCCATTTTAATTATGAAGTTATTTACTCTAAGGGAGCTTAAGCCACACACCTATTTTAGAGAGAATCAGTTAGAATAAAAAATATCTTGCTTTCAAGTGTCTTTTTTTTTGGTTTGTTTATTTTTAAAACTAGTTATACTTTTATTATTTTTTTTTAACTTTTAGGTTCAAGGGCACACATACAGGTTTGTTATACAGGTAACTTGTATGTCTTGGGGGTTTGTTGTACAGATTAACTCTTCATGAAATGGCATGTGAAATCACACAGCACATTTTAGGGTGAATATCAGTTTTTGAATTATTGTGCAAGAAACATGTCCAAGAAAGTGGCTTAATAAAATTAATTTGAGTCATGGTTCATACAGATTATGATAGGTGATGAAAGCTATAGAAGAGATAAATGAGGTCAAAATTAGTTTGATGAATAACCAAAATTAATTTTTATCACTAGCAATAAACTATGATGCATCCATACATTGGACTAATATACAGCTATTAAAATGAATGATGTGGATCTCTCTCTGATAACTCCCAAACAAGTATTCTAAGAAAGATTGAGTGAAAAAGATCAAGTTGCAGAAAATATATACAGTGCATCTTCATAGTTATTTATCTGAAATTTTGAAATATATAGAGGTCTAAATTGTTTTCATAATGTATTTGGTGACAAAAACTAACTAGCTTTGAATTCATTTGGCAGGAAATCTTGACCTAAATTGATATGAGGTGATGTGTAATCATTATTTTAATTACTTCAAGTATGCACATAATTTGCTAATGTAATATTGTATTGAATAACATGGTAGTCGCCCAGTCCTTGCTGGTATTTTATTGAGTTTGGAATTTCTTTTTCTTAGCTTTCTAAAACCTGAAAAATTTGGCTCCAGAAATGTATTTGACCTCAAGAGTTTTAGATAAATATTTAGCAGTTAACAGTGAATATTTTCCATGATTTATAAGTAATGGAAGTATCGATTTTCATAGATAATATTTCTGTGATATCTGAGATGATAAGCCTGTATTAATTATGTAATAAGGTAAAATGTAACAAAAGTTTGAAAATAAATAGAAAAAAGCTTCTGATACTATGTTAATTCTTAGGAAACACTCAGCATTGAACAGTAATATTAATCTTTTTTCTTTTTCCTCAAAGTATTGTTTTTCACAGACTTTGATCATAGATAAAACATATTACTATAGTATTGGGTTTAACATCTCATGCTCTAGAACTGAATAAGTCTGGTTTGGAATGATTACTATTCCACCTACTAAATTTATGAAAAAGGAAAGTTATATTCGTAGAACTTTTAATTTTAAACTGGAGAAAGGAGAGAATGGATATACGTCCCTCATAAAATAATTGCAAGAATGGCATAATCTAATGAGTACAGCTCAATTAGCCCAATGTCTGCCAGTTATTAAAACCTATTGTGGATGTTAATTATAAACATCTTCATCACGTTTTTCTGAAGACATTCTTTCAAAACCAAAATTATTTTTGTCTGCCATCATCTCAAACAGCTGAGCCATATCTTCTCCTTTTGCATACTCCTGGGTCTCATCCCCCAAAGGATGTGTCTTTTGCAACGTTTGAGATGTGAGCAGGTAGGATGAATGAGAAGTGGAATCAAGTCTCAATTGATTTTGTCTCTGATTTTTTCGAACAGATCTCTTTATTGTCTTTGATTTTTTAAATCCTGATAGAAAATATTGGCTCTTTTTTTTTTCAACCATTCTGCTACTTGTTTTACTTCACCCCACCTTTCTTTTTTTTGCTTTAATCATACCTGATAGATAATGGTATTAATCTTTGACTAATGTGATCGATGGTAAGTAATCAATTCAGATTTTTAACACTATTATATTCTCTTAAAATAATTTCTATTAAACTTAG
The DNA here is from genome assembly GCF_000001405.40 of Homo sapiens. NCBI lineage: Eukaryota > Metazoa > Chordata > Mammalia > Primates > Hominidae > Homo > Homo sapiens. The sequence goes on from NC_000011.10 coordinate 37,740,161, forward strand.
TGCAATATTTTAGCATACAAGTCTATAAATAAATGCCTTTTAACCAATAACACATTACCTAAAATTAAAGAAATAGTTTATGATGTTTTTGTAGTAAATCACCTAGTGTCCTGCCTTGTGAAAGACTATTATTCAGGTACATGTTTTGATTCTAAAATATGAATGAAAACCATCACTGGGTATATGACAAAGCCAAAAGCCACGTTGATCTTTTTATTGTCATAGCGTTCTTCTTACTATATATGGAAATTTACATAATTACAAAGGAATTTATAAAGCTAAAAATAACAGTGATTGAAGATATTTTCTTATTCTTTTTTTATTTCAATAGTTTTTGGAGTACAGGTGGTTTTTGGTTACACAGATGAGTTTTTTAGTGGTAAATTCTGAAATTTCAATGCACCCATCCCTGAGCAGTGTTGCACTATACTCAATATGTAGTCTTTTATGAAGATAATTTTAAAGCAGACAATGGGCAGAAATATGGTTTGAGCCTCCAATTCTGCTATCTTGAACTAGCCCCCACAACCCACTGTTGCTTTTACAACCTTTTAAAAAAGTACTCTGCCTAAATTATCAACAAAGGACACTGAGATCGTTAGGTGTTTTATGTTCCAACCACCTTCTCATGTATCCAAGATGTTGGCCAAGATATTGTTACTCCATGTGAAATTAATTTTTTAATCCAGAAGTCACATTTTTATCTACTTTAAAGATATCAAAAGAAGATTCCATGAAAACATTCCAGTTGTTCCCAGCTCCTAGCATCTGGAATGACTTACTTGGTCACTTGTCCCAGTATCACTTTGTAGTTAGAATTTCATCTGATTTGTACTCTACTTAAATATTAACTTGTAAATTTTCAATTGCTTAACACTGTGTATGTTCTAGAGCTATTTCAAATCCTTAATGATGAGCAGTAATATAGTATAGTAGAAATAACATGGAAATAGAACTCTAATTTTGCTTTAAGTCATTATAAACTAACTTCTGTTCATAGGCAAGACAGTTTTAATTTTATTTCATAGTTTTTTGTACTTTTCTCTTGAAATTTGTAGTTAGCTATATCTGGACTGCTTTATCAATTTTACAGAATTTTCAAATGTGACTATACGTATGAAACACTTTAAAGTTTTATTTGCAATATGAGTATAATCAACAGACCTGCTTTGAAACAGGGCTTCTTTAGAGTGATGAATACTTTTCAAAATTTTGTGGAAAATATGGACAATGTATGAGAAAAGTATACAACTAATTTCATAGGTTTGATGAGGAATTTAGATTTTCTTAATATAATTTCAGTGCAAAACATGACCTATTATGCTAAATTGAAAATATATTAGAAAAGAAATAAATCCATAAGTGTGTCGTTCTTTTTACTACAATGCAATTCTAAAAAGGCAGAGAAGAGATTTTTTTTCCCTCGGTACTTTCCCATATTCTTTCTATTTCTGTGTGCTTCTCATTTTTAAATCAAGATTTTACATCTTATCTGTAGTCTTTAAGGCTATGCATAACTTCTCAGGATACCCTTCTGGTCCACTCATCTTTCCAAGAGTTGGTTGGCCATTCTCTATAATGACTTCTGTTCTCTCTTCTGTTACTCAACCCAGCATTAAATATTTATTTAACATCCACATTCTTCTCTCTCTTTGTAGATGCTGCTGGTAAACCTAAGAAGATAATGACAGTCCTTGTCATTTTAGAATATGTATTATGTTGGAGGATGGACATTGAAAACAGTAATAAAACATATAACTAAATTTTTGTTAAGTTGGTGAGGGGAGACCTGAGCTGGGGGAGGGGAGGGAACCTGGTTGGAGTTACCAGAAGGAGGCCACTGGGGGTTAGTCCATGGTGAAAATGGAGTGGCGAAAATAAAATTAGAAAGATAGATAGATGAAACTCTTTGTTAAGAAATTTGGAATTTGAGTGCAATGAGAAGTGAATTGTATTTTAAAGAAGAATGAAGTGAGAGAAAATCTCAAGTCAGTTTTTCTTTGGGATTCTAGTGTTTGGAGAGATTATGTAGTGGAGTTTGGTAGGTAATGTGCAATTAAATTTTGTGAAGAATAAAAGAGTATCTATTAAAGATTCATTTTAAGCAAAGCCAAATGTCTGAGCTTCCTGTGTGTCAAGCTCTACCTACATAATGAGGTCAACATCTATATCACCTACCCCATTATTGAGTAAGCCAGTGAGTTGAAGGAAACTTAAAGAGAGATATTAACAGGAAAGGTTAAAATGACTCTGGAGTGAGCTTAAAAGGCAAGGATGTGAACTCAAATTTACCATGAGCAATATGGGTTTCTTCCCCTCTTTGCCATTAGATACTGTTACAGTTATTGAATATTCTGTATTTCTTTACCTTTAGGTAAGATCATACAGTGATAAATTACATTTTTTTAAAAATCTTAGAACATTTGTAAGATGTATATGATTTTGTTATTAGCCTTATTTATTGATATAGGAAAATTTAGAATGACAATAATAATAGCAGTGAGAATAACAATAGTAATAATAATAATTACTAATACTTACTTAAATTTTACTCTGCTCCAGTGTTCAAGACTTAGTGCATTCTGTGACAAGATGACAAACTAGTATAGGAAGAAAAACAATAAAAGCAACAACTCTACATAAAAGAAACGTATCCCAAACTGTGATAAAGTTGTTGTTACAGATAATTAAGTTATCACTTATTAACATGAGATGTATGTGTATGTGGGTGCATGGGCATTGGGATGACACGTATTAAAAAGATCATTCGGTCTGTTTAATTTCTAAAGTAAATAAGACAGGCTTTTTCCTATATGAAAGTTTGTCAAAAGAGCATATTTGTAAACTAGTTTTAACTCATCACTTTATTTACATCTATGATAATTTTGGAAGTTATACATATACATGTATATAATGTATATATGCATATAATTTATAATATACATTATATTATATATATGTACGTTATATTATACATATGTATATTATATATACATATATTATACATACATATATGTGTATATAATTTATATATACAAAATATATACATTCTGGAAGTTATATGTATATAATACAAAATATATATTATATATAACATACACTATATATAATAACATATATTGTATATGTTATGTATAACTTATATATGTCATATGTCAAAAATATATAAAATATGTAAAACTTCCAGAATTATGTATAATATATAATATAATTATATATTAGATATGATATATATTTTCTATATAATATGTAATTATATTATATAGAAAATATATATAATTATATATTGTGTATTATGTATAAATATATATAATATAATATAAAATATATTCTATATAATATAAAAATTATATAATATAAAATATGTTATATATAATATATAAATTATATAATATACAATATAATTATATATAGTAATTTTATAAAAATTATATATTATATATAATTACACATTATATATAATATAATTTTATATTATATATAATTACACATTATACATAATATAATTTTATATTATATATAATTACACATTATACATAATATAATTTTTATTATATATAATTACACATTATACATAATATAATTTTATATTATATATAATTACACATTATATATAATATAATTTTATATTATATATAATTACACATTATATATAATATAATTTTATATTATATGTAATTACACATTATATATAATATAATTATATATTATATATAATTACACATTATATATAATATAATTTTATATTATATGTAATTACACATTATATATAATATAATTATATATTATATGTAATTACACATTATATATAATATAATTTTATATTATATGTAATTACACATTATATATAATATAATTATATATTATATATAATTACACATTATATATAATATAATTTTATATTATATGTAATTACACATTATATATAATATAATTATATATTATATATAATTACACATTAAATATAATTATATATTATATATAATTACACATTATATATAATATAATTTTATATTATATATAATTATATATAATATAATTTTATATTATATATAATTATAGATAATATAATTTTATATTATATATAATTATATATAATTACTCATTATATATAATATAATTTTATATTATAGATAATTATATATAAAATATAATTATATATAAATATATAATTTATATTTCTATATAATTATATTATATATAATTATACTATATAGAATATGATTATATTATATATAATTATATTATTTATAATTATACATATAATATAATTATATATTATATGTATAATTATATATAATTATGTATTATATGTATAATTATATATAATTATACATTATATGTATAATTATATATAATTATACATTATATATTATATACAATTATATATAGTTATACATTATCTATAATATAATTATATATAGTTATACATTATCTATAATATAATTATATATAATTATACATTATCTATAATATAAGTATATATATAATCATGTATGATATATAATTATATGTAAATATATATTATATAATATAATTATATATTTTATATAATATGTATATTATATAATTATATATTTTATATAATATGTATATTATATAATGTAATTATGTATTTTATATAATATGTATCTTATATAACATAATTATGTATTTTATATAATATGTATCTTATATAATTATGTATTTTATATAATATGTATCTTATATAATATAATTATGTATTTTATATAATATGTATCTTATATAAGATAATTATGTATTTTATATAATATGTATCTTATATAAGATAATTATGTATTTTATATAATATGTATCTTATATAAGATAATTATATATTTTATATAATATGTATAATATAATATAATTATATATTTTATATAATATGTATAATATAATATAATTATATATTTTATATATAAGAAATAAATATATATTATATAAAATATAAATATATATTTTGGAAGTTATACACACATAACATATAATATGTATTATATAATACGTTATATAATATATATTATATATATTCATCTATAATATAGTATATATAATATATATGATACATAAAGTAATATAGATATTTTCTTTGAGCCACATAGTTTTGATCATTTTTTATGTTAACCCATGATTTTAAGCGGGACATGGCTATTAAATGTGTACTATATGTTTATGTGATACCAGAAAAATTATAGGCTGATTGGTGATAATTTAATTTCATTTTAATTAAAACAACATTATATGATAAAATTATGATAAGTCTCTTATTGAACAAATACCGGTGTAAATACTAATATGTTGGCACCAAAATCCAAAATAGAACAGTTTTCTAGGAGACATATTGAGACATTTGTTTTCACATTTGAGGAGAAAAGAAAGAATATTATAAAGGGTTTGATTTAAGCAACCCTTCAAGGAGATATTTAGAAAGAAGCACATAAATTGTTTACCAACTAATTAGATTTATATTAAGGTCATAATAAAATCATTTGAAGATGGAACTACAACATTTCAACAATAGACTCAAATTCCTAAAACAATTTTTGAAATAGAAAAAACCTCTAAATTTTCAGTAAAATTTTTGAATTTGAATATATAAAAGTTTATTTAATGGTGATTCTCAATTGCAAAACCATTGTGTACTGGCTTCATCAAAGGCTTTTGATACATTAAAAAACAAACAAGGAAAAGATAAGGGAAATAGACTGATTTTCTTTGGCTCTGTTATAATTATGTCACAGGGAAACTCTATGTGAAAAAAAAAAGCTGTAATGTCATTTCGATATTCAGCCAGATTTGAGAAACAATGCTCAGTGTTATTGATCAACATGTTCCAAGGAACCTCAGGCCTCAGAGATATTCTTTGTTAAAATTGTTGTCTGGAAAAATACATTTTTAAAATAGTTCGAACTATAGTTCACCGATTTCCAATGCTCAATGGCATATTCTGAATAGATCTATATTAAAAATCCATTTAACTTTATTTAACCCACATTTTTATTTTATGCTAATGTAGTCTAAATACATTAAGAAATAATTACAATTTAAAGACATCAGATTTATATCAGCATAAAACTAAATTTTTAGAATATTTATGCACCTATTTCTCTTGATTTACATGTGAGAACTTTGTTGTACTTAGTGCAAGTAGTTTTCATGCTACTTATAAAATTTTAAGTATCCCCTATAAATTTTGCTTATATTAATCTATCATCTAAGTAAGTTTATGTAAGATGGACTAACCAAATTTCTGGGGCCTAGTGTTCTTCTTGAAGTGTTCACAGGCATAGCCATGACCAAGGTAGTATAGGGAGCTTATTGCTTTTGTTGAAGAAAAATTACATTATATGGAGTTGGATGGGCCAGGAAGACTTTATTCAAGATTATTGCAAGAGGGGAGAGATCTAGAACTCAACTCCATTAAAACAAGACGTAAGAGTTTTTAAGCACTGAGATGTGCTAGTGGAAAAGTATTGAAGGACATTAGTAAGGAGCTTCATCAATGTGATTAGGCCATTTGTTTTTGCTATTGGCTGTTATTGAAGTTAGGCTCCTGCTCTCCCACGGAGACTGGGAGATAGGGACACAATCTTTCTTGATAATTGCATGTCAAAGGGATGGCTCCCGGAATCTTGAGAATGACATTTCTGGATTGTAAAACTAACAAGAGGGTAGAAGAAGGAAGAGGCAGGGAAACAATTTACTACTATAGATTTTATAAGTAAATACTGCAAGAAAAGAGAGTTCCAGGACCTATAGTCAGGAAAAATCTTGTCTAAAGTTTAGTCAAGCTGAGGGAAATGTGAAGGTTGCTTTGGTAACATTCTATTGCACAGAGTGAGACCAGCTGTGCCTGAAGTATGGGGAGATTTAAGTCCTCATAGTTAACTTGGAACTTCACTGCAGACTGCATTATGCAGAGTGAAGAAGAACATTACATGTCAGCCATTTATTAACAACTACATCTTCATCTCATGCTCTGTATACATGGAATGTAGAAAACTGTTGGCCCATTCCCATGCCTATATGAATTATTATTGTCGGTTAATGAACAAAAAATTCGTTAAAAAGGCATGCAAAATTTTATGCCAGAATATACTAAATAACTTCCCTTCTCCTGCCCTGTTGTAATTTCCAAAAGAAATAAGAGTAAGAATTAGTCACTAACCATCATTCACCAAGATGACTTTCCCAGTCCTCTGAGTTATTTGGAAAAGAAAATAATCAGTATAGTTTGAAAATCACTTGAAGAAAGAACAACAATTGAAAGAATTTGTCTGTTTTTATGGAACCATAAATTGAAATTCAATTTGGGGATTTACCTAAAGCAAGTTACTAATCCATTAAACAATTATTCAGCTTGAATCCCCAATGCATAAAAAAACTTGACTTAATATTTTTCTATAGAATCATATGAATAATAGAATACACATGTATTAAACTCTTTAATTAAAATTAAAATGAATCTTTTACATTTTCTTAAAAAAACATTAAAATTTTAACTTTAAAAAATGAGCTTTGAGGAATCATCTGAGAGAAGGAATAATCTTTCAAATGCATTTGGTTTTCCATGTCATCATTGTAAATAGATCTATGGATACTAGAGGTCTAAGTAAGGTTGATTTTCTTTAAACAATGTGGGCCTCACAAAGGAAGACATCCTGTAAAAGTTTGCCAATTTATTTTCTACAAGGACATTTCCTGCACTTATCTTGGTAAAATAAGAATGTTTATTTAGCCTAAAGGCATTTCATATCTATCTAATGCTCCAATCCACTGGGGCTATTTGGTATGTCCTTTAGTTCACTTGGAAAATCTGCCATTTTAATTATTTACAGATTTCCCAAGGGTGCATATATTGATATATACAATGGTATACATGCTAGGCATGTGAAATCCAGTTTTTTTTTTTTTACAAAAGAAAGTATTAGAAGTGGTGGAGTAAGATGGTCAAATAGAACCCTCCAGCAAACATCACCCAATGCAGGAAAACCAAATTGAACAACTATCCATACAAGAATGGACCTTCATAAACACCACTCTCCTCCTCAGCATATGGAACATTCTCAAAGGTAGAAGATATGTTAGGCAACAAAACAAGTAAAAAATTATTTAAAAATTGAAATCATATTAAGTATTTTCTCTGATCACAGTGGAATAAAACTTGAAATCAGTAACAAGAGGAACTTTTAATACTATACAAATACATATAAATTAAACTATATGCTTCCAAATAACCAGCAAGTCAGTGATTAAATTAAAAAATAAATGAATGAAATAAATGAAAAGGGAAACACAACATTTCAAAACCTATAGGATACAGCAAAAGCAGTACTAAGAAGATAATTTATAGCGGTTAGTGTTGGGGTAATCAGACCCAGCACCAGGTCGTAGGGGTGAGGAAGTCTGGTGGAGTCAAAGGATTGAGAAAAAGACAGTTTGAGAACTAAAGTGGGACCAGGGGGCCATAGCGATTGTGGAGGCTGGGAAGGCCCTGAGCTCTGGGAGCCCACACTCTTTATTGGTAATCCAACAAAGAAACAGGTAGTGAGAATGTGGGGATCAAAAGGGCAGACACATGATCTACAGCTGTGACAGTTTAGCATTTGTATGGAACATCTTCTGCTACTTGAGATAGTGGGAATATAATCTATCTAGGAGCCTAGGAGGGCTAGAAACAAGGAGCCAGCAAGTCTAGACACATTCCAGAGGACATTATGTCAGACATGCAAGCACTGCCTCAGCTTTCTTCCCAACACTCAGCTTTTTCCCAACAGTAAATGCCTGTACAAAAAAGCAGAAAACTTCAAATAAATAACCTAACAATGCATCTTAAAGAACTAAAGAAGCAAGTGCAAACAAAACTCAAAATTAGTAGAAGAAAATAAATAATGAAGATTAGAGCAGAAATAAATAAAATTGAGCCCAAAAATAATACAAAAAAATCAATGAAACAAAACATGGGTTTTATGAAAGGTACAACTGACAAATCTTCAGCCAGATTAACTAAGAAAAAAAGAGAGAAGACTCAAAGAAAATCAAAGATGAAAATAGAGACATTACAACTCATACCACAGAAATTCAAAGGGTCATTAGAGACTACTATGAGTAAGTACCTGCCAATAAATTGGAAAACCTAGAAGAAATTGATAAATTCCTAGACACATAGAATCTTCTGAAATTAAACCAGAAAGAAATCTAAAACCTGAGTAGATCAATATCAAGTTATGAGATCAAATTCATAATAAAATATCTCCAAGTAAAGAAAAGCCCAGGACACAATGGCTTCACTGCTGAATTTAACCCAACATGTAGAGAAGAACTAGTACCAATTCTACTCAAACTATTCTGAAAAGAAGAGGAGGAAGAAAGATTTCGAAACTCATTCTTCAATGCCAGTATCACCCTGATATCAAAAGCAGACAAAGGCACATTTAAAAAAGAAAATTAAGGGCCAATGTCTCCGATGAACATGGATGCAAAAATTCTCAACAAAATATTAGCAAACCAAATTCACCAACACATTAAAATGATCTTTTATCATGAGCAAGTGAGATTTATTCCAGGGATGCTAGGATGGTTCAACATACACAAATCAGCCAATGTGATATATCATATTAACAGAAGGAAAGATAATTGGTATGATAATTTCGATTGATGCTGAAAAAGCATTTGATAACATTTAACATTTATTAATGATAAAAACCCTAAAAAAACTGGACATGGAAATAACATACCTGTATAAAATAAAAGCAATATATGACAGACCCACAGCTACTATAATACTGAACAAAGAAAACCTGAAAATCTTTCCTTTAAGATATACAACACAACAAGGATGCCATTTTAATCACTGTTATTCAACACAGTACTGGATGTTCAACTAGAGCAAGCAGAAAATATATGTAAATAAAGGGCATCCAAATTGGAAAAGAAGAAATAAAATTCCCTTTGTATGCAGATGATATAACGCTATATTTGGAAAAACCTAAAAATTCCACTAAAAAACTATTAGAATTGATTTAAAAATTCAGTAAATTTGAAGGCTACAAAATCAACATACAAAACTATATGCCAGCCATGAACAATCTGAAAAAGAAATCAAAATGTAATCCCATTTACAGTAGCCACAAATAAATTTAAGTACTGAGGAATTAATTTAACCAAAGAAGAGAAAGATCTCTATATTGAAAACTATAACATGTTGATGAAAGAAATTGAAAAAAAAATTGAAAAATATTTATGTTAATTAATTGGAAGAATCAATATTGTTAAAATATCCATGCTGTCTAAAGCAATCTACAGATTTAATGCAATCCCTGTCAAAATACCAATGACAATCTTCACAGAAATAGAAAAAGTAAAACCTAAAATTTACATGAAACCACAAAAGACCCAAGATAGCCAAAGCTATCCTAAGCAAGAAGAACAAAGTTGGGGGACTCACATTAGCTGACTTCAAATTATACTTCAGAGCTGTAATAACCCAACAGCATGACACTGGCATAAAAACAGACACATAAACCAATGGAACAGAATAGAGAACTCAAGAGATTAAGCCATACATCTTCAGTGAGCTCATTTTCAATGAAAGTGCCAAAAATATATATTGGGGAAAGAATAATCTCTTTGATAAATTGTGCTGGTAAAACTGGATACACAGAAGAATGAAACAAGACTTCTATCTCTTGCCCTATGCAAAAATCAAATAAACATGAATAAAACACTTAAATATAATACTTCAGCCTATCAAAGTACTAAAAGAAAACATTGAAAATCTCTCCAAAACAAACATTTCTTGAGTAATACCCAATAAGCACAGGTAACTAAAGTAAAAATGGACAAATGAGATCATATCAAGTTAAAAAAATATCTTCACAAAAAAGGAAACAATTAACAAAGTGAAGGGACAACCCACAGAATGGAAGAAAATGTCTGCAAACTACTCATCTGACAAGAAATTAATCCCCAGAATGTATAAAGAGCTCAAACAACTCAATAGGAATAAAAACCCTAGTAATCCAATTTTTTAAGTAGGCTAAAAAGTTGAATAGACATTTGTCAAAAAAAAGGTACGAAAATGGGTATATGAAAAGATGCTGAACAGCATTGATCATCAGAGAAATGCAAACCAAAACTTCAATGAGATATCATCTTCCCCCAGTTAAAATGGCTTTTGTTCAAAAGTCAGGCAATAATTAATCCTGGCAAGGGGTAAAAGGAAACCCTCAAACACTGTTGGTGGGAGTATAAATTAGCGTCGCCACTACGGAGAACAGTGTGGAGGCTCCTCAAAAAACTAAAAATTTAATTAACATATGATCAAGCAATTCCATTGCTGGGTACATAAGCCAAAGAAAGGAAATCAGTATATCAAAGAGATATCTACACTCCCATGTTTATTGCAGCACTCTTCATAATCGCCAAGATTTGGAAGCAATCTAAGTGCCTATAAACAGACAAATGGATAAAGGAAAAGAAGTACATATACTCAGTGGAGTACTACTCAGCCATAAACAAATAATGAGATCCTGTCATTTGCAATCACATAGATGGAACTGGAGGACATTATGTTACATGAAAAAAGCCAGGCAGAGAAAGAGAAACTTCACATATTCTCACTCATTTGTGGGAGCTAAAAATGCAAACAATTCAAATCATGGATATAGAGAGCAGAATGATGACTATCAGAGGCTGGGAAAGGTAGTGGTGGCAGGAGTAATTGGGAATGGTTAATGGGTACAAAAATATAGTTCTACAAAATGAATGAGATTTATTATTTGATAGCACAATAGGGTGACTATAGTCAACAATAATTTATTGTATATTTAAAAATAACTAAGAGAGTATAATTGGAATGTTTGTAACACAAAGAAATGATACATGCTTGAGATGATGGATACTCCATTTACTCTGATGTGATGATTACACATTGAATGCCTGTATCAAAATATCTCGTGTACCTCATAAATATGTATTAATACACCTATTATGTACACATAAAAATTTATAGTTAAACATTCTTTAAAAAGAAAGGAGCAATGGCTATATTCATATCAGGGAAAGTAGACTTCAGGAAAAAAAATTATCAGAGACAGTGAGGGACATTTTTGAATAATAAAAATAGGTTAATCCACCAAGAAGGCCTAGCAATCCCAAAAGCACCAGAGCTACAAAGACATGTGAAGAAAAAAACTCATGAACCTAAAAGTAGAAATAGACAAATCCACATTACAGTTGAGACTTCAACACCCATCTCTTAACAATTGATAGAAAAACTGTCCAGAAAATCAGCAAGAATATAGAAGAACTCAAAAAAAGCCACCAATTCTCAGGATTTGATCAGCATTTGTAAGACAGTTTGCTGAACAGGAGTGTCTTATCTGTATCAATGTCTGTATCCAAGTTGCAATATTATAATATAATTTTGCAACATGTTTATAGTGGGGAAAACTGGGGAAAGGGTACAAGGGATCTCTGTGTGTTTCTTTCTTTCTTTCTTTCTTTCTTTCTTTCTTTCTTTCTTTCCTTCCTTCCTTCTTTCTCTTTCCCTTCCTTCCTTCCTTCCTTCCTTCCTTCCTTCCTTCCTTCCTTTCTTTCTTTCTTTCTTTCTTTCTTTCTTTCTTTCTTTCTTTCTTTCTTTCTTTCTTTCTTTCTTCTCTTTCTTCCTTTCTTCTTTTTCTTTTTTTCCTTCTTCTTTCATTTTTTGAGACAGAGTTTTGCTCTTCTTGCCCAGGCTGGAGTGCAATGGTGCAATCTTGGCTCATGGCAACCTCTGCCTCCTGGGTTCAAACGATTCTCCCGCCTCAGCCTCCATAGTAGCTGGGACCACAGGCATGTGCCAACACACCCGGCTAATTTTATATTTTTAGTAGAGGTGGGGTTTCTCCATGTTGGTAAGGCTGGTCTGGAACTCCCGACCTCAGGTGATCCTCCTGCCTTGGCCTCCCAGATTGCTGGGATTACAGGCATGTGCCACCACACCAGGCCCTCTCTGTGTTTTTTCTTACACCTGCATGTGAATCCAACATTATCTCAAAATTTTTTAAATTCAATTTTAAAAATGAACAACTATACTTCCCATAAGAATATAGTCCCAGCAACTTGGGAGGCTGAAATGGGAGAATGGCTTGAGCTCAGGAGTGTTAAACTACAGTGATCTACGTTGGTATTAAATGTTGATATTAAATCAATGCTGAATAAAAGTGGTACAAGCATACATCATTGCCTGGTTCCTAATCTTAGGGGCAAAGCTTTCTGATTTCATCATTAAATGTTAGCAGCAGGTTTTTTTTTTTTTTTCCATCAGTTTCAGGGCTTCCCTTCTATTCCAAGTTTGTTGAGAGTTTTGTTATTTCATAAATAGGTATTAAATTTTGTTAAATACTTTTTGTGCATCTACTGAGATGATCATATGGGTATTATCTTATAGCCTGTTCGTATAGTAAATTATATGGATTGACTTTCCAATACTAAGCCAGCTTTGTATTCGTTGGATGAAACTTAGTCATGATGTATTGTTATTTTTATATACTACTGTATTCATTTTGTTAAATTTTAAAAAGATTTTTTAAAAAATAAAATAATTGTTTCTACATTCATAAAAATATTATATTCGACTTGCCCAAGATACTGCTGCTACTTCAAAAAAAATCTATATTTAAGAACAAGAACAGATAAAACAAGGAAAAGGCTAGATTTGAAAAATTAGTATAAGAAGTAACAAAGAGAATGGAATTTCTAAGAAACAGAATTGTTCAAGCTGAACTTGTTTGACTCTTTGTTGAAGTCATTTAAATCCTGAATAGGAGATACAGGAGAAGAAGTGGCAATAATAGCTAGTATTTTTGAGCACTTTATATGTGCCAGCCTTTGTTCAAAGTGCTTTATACACCTCATATAATCTTCATAACATTCTTATGAAGGTATAATATCAGGAAAGTACATTGACTAGTCACTATGAGTCAAGCATTGTATTAATTCTTTCATATGTTATGCTATATATAATTCTCATAAAAGCATGCATGTCAATTGAATTATTGTTCTCATTTTTAAATTGAGGAATCTGTTTATGTCAAGTAAGATTGGAGCCAAAATGGTGCCCAGGTAATATCATCCCCAAGCCCGAGCTCTTCATCACTCGCTACAACAATAATATAAGCTCTTTTTTATTCCTGTTTCCACTCATTTAAACCTTTATTTAAAGACGTTTATTTAGTCATCCACCACGTGGCACATAACATGTTTATTTGGTAATCTACCATGTGGCATGTAACTGCTGAGGATATATCATCTGTCTTCTGGAGAAGAACAAAGCACATTCAGCATAATAGGCTAGCACCTTTAGACCACACAAGAGGCACTCCTGCCATGTGCCCTGTTTGTTCTTTGGAGAGCCTTCCTCAAAAAATTTAAATCTCGTCTGGTGTTTGGAACTAACTGAAGCTGGCAGGATTGTCTGTGCAGAGACAGGATCTGCATAGACCTTGGTCTTTGTTTCTCTCCTCAAAGATGTTCTTTGGCTTTTTACATCCATCCCTTGCCATAAGTCAGGTTGACCTGATGGATGGAGAAGCTCCAGGACTTGTGATTAGGAGGGTCTTCCCAGGGCAATGTGGACAGACCAGAATACAGAAGCATAGCGTAGTGAGCAAATGCAGTACTACTTTCCTGAGATCCAGTGAGGTAGGACCTCCAGAATGGTGCTGACATGCTGATTTGGAGTTATGCTCACATCAGACATAGGGTGAGTTCAGAATTATTGCTATGATAATCCCTGGTTGACCCTTCAAATTGAGATGTGTAGATAGGCTGCTGTGTCAGCTTTCAACTTTGTGTGTTCTGACCACAGTGTCTTCTCTAGTTTACAGCACCTAAAGGTAATGTGAGTGGTGGCAGATGTTCTGCACACTGTACCCAGGGCGTCATTCCAACTCCTTGACAGGCAATTCATCACATATGAGAAAGTCCTGTGATTGCCATACCTATCTGTTTGAAGGGCTTGAAGACTGCTCCTTATACCAAGGGTCTTTTCAGACCTGTGTATTTTCTTGTGTCTGATCAATGTGGTGAAGGTATGCTCTTCTAGATGATGTTAAACCCTGGCAGGAAAGGTATAGATGATATTTGTGTAAATTGAATTGCTCTTTTTGCTTGAAACCTCTCCCTGACTTTCTTCTGGTGGCTATATGTGGAAGGAGGTAGTGCTACAACATAAAAAAATACCACGTTGTAGGGATGCAGTTGACTATGGCCTAAGAAGTTCAAGAGGGGATGTTGTTGAAAGATGTGCTGTTCTACATTTATACTATAAAATTTCAAACAGTAAATTCAACATGACTAGAGAATGAGTGATAATTTCCAGTCTCTCGCACACTCTAGGGAATGCATTTGTGTTCAGTATCAACAAAGCATAGTCAGAAACTTTGAGAGTATTATCAGGAGTTAGTGTTCAAGAACAAATAATGCCATATCATGAATACTAGGAGCTTATGCCAGTAAGTTATTCAAATTGCATCTGGTCTGTGGCTAGACTCAGCCAACAGCTGCCAGTCTGAGAACCCTGTAACTCTTAACACTTACCCCACTCTCTCCAGCCTGCTGGTCCTTCATCTGTCATCAATAGCATTTGCCCACATTCTTCACTGTAGCACTTGTGAAATTACATTGAACATACTTGTTTTCATATCTGTTTCCCTTTAGTCTACACAAATTCCTACAGACTGAACTCTCCAGGTCCATCTTTATAGGTTGAGTAATACGGTCTATGGCTCATGATAAATATTCACAATGTATTTTGCTCTTTGTTTAATAAGAAATGTAATTTCAACCTTTAGGTTATATTATACAAAGTTATTCATTTGAGTTAATCTTATGAACAAGCAAGATCCTCAAAGGGAGAATCAGACCTGCTAAAACAAAGGAAATCAGTTAAGGCTGATTTTAGACTGCTATTAATATCTAACAAAGTCTTATTGGACAAAAGTTGGTCAGAAATATCCAAGGGAGGAAACCATTGCTAACTGACATTTTGATGCTATTGGATACTGCTGTTAACTTGAGTTGGCCAGTGTATAAGTTGTTGCTGAGAGCAGTAAACCTCTAATGAGTCCACAGAATTTAATGTCTCCTAGTATGTTCAATCTACTACCAGAGTAGCTTTAACACTGAGAATATTTAGTTTATTAGAAACATTCAGATCATTTCTACTTTACCTCACTCTGTGCTACCTAGATGATTCCAGAAAGTGAATCTTATTAAGGA
The DNA here is from genome assembly GCF_000001405.40 of Homo sapiens. Classification (NCBI taxonomy): domain Eukaryota; kingdom Metazoa; phylum Chordata; class Mammalia; order Primates; family Hominidae; genus Homo; species Homo sapiens. The sequence continues at coordinate 37,756,424 of NC_000011.10, forward strand.
TAATATTAAAAATAATACCTAACATGTTTAAACATGCTTATTAAGTGCCAGTCATTACTCAAAAATTTTCATGTGATCTCACTTAATTTTCATGATGACTATTATAAAATAAATCTTGTCCACCCCAAAATCCATATGCTGAAGCCCTATCAACCAATATGATGGTATGTGGAGATAAGGCCTTGGGGAGGTAATTAGGATTACAGGAAGTCATGAAGATGGGGGTCTTCATAATGGGATTAATAGATTTATTAGAAGAAGAGAGACATACTATGCTCTCTTAACCATGTGAGAACACAGCAAAAAAGCAGCCTACTGGCCAGGCACAGTGACTAACGACTGTAACCCTAGCACTTTGAGAGGCTGAGGCAGATGGATCACCTGAGGTCAGGAATTCAAGACCAGCCTGGCCAACATGGTGAAACCCTGATTCTACAAAAATACAAAAAGTAGCGGGGCATGGTGACAGGTGTCTGTAATCCCAGCTACTCGGGAGGCTGAGAGGGGAGAATCACTTGAACCCAGGAGGTGGAGATTGCAGTGAGCCGAGAGCATGCCATTGCACTCCAGCCTAGGTCACAGAATGAGACTCTGTCTCAAAAAAAAAAAAAAAAAAAAAAAGGCAGCCTACTAAAGGTTGCAAAGTAGGCCCTCACTGGTAATCAAAACTAGTCAGCAAGTTGATCTTGGACTTCCCAGACTCCAGAACTGTGAGAAATAAATGTTTGCTGTTTAAGCACCCATTCTAAGGTGTTTTGTTATAGCATCACTAGCAGACTAATGCAACAAGCTTGTTAAGTAAATACTGGTGTTATCTCCATTTTATCAATGAGGGAATAGAGGCACAGTGCTGTAAGCAGCCCAGGTAATTCACCAGGGATATAGTAACGCAGCTTCTGGTGCTCGGGGCTCCAGGCTTGGGATCTGACATCCTAGGTTTTATTCTCAGCTCTTCCCTGACTCTCTCGTAAGCTTTACCAAATTGCATAAACTTTTTGAACCTCATCATTCTTATTAGCCAGATAAGAAATGTATGATCTACTTTCCAACTCTGAGATCTGACATAAAATATTTGAATAAACTTTAAAGTACTGTACAGACTCATAGTGTTACCATTAACACCACACCAAACTCCCTTGAACCACCTGCAGATTTCTGAAGAAATTTTGGGCCCTTTACATGCATATTCTCTCAGTCATTTTTTAAGAAAAATTTATAATAATTTTATATATTGGAAATTTCTTTCCAAGCAGTACACAGCACGTAATTTTGTAAAATAAGTATAAAACATCCTTCTCTCTTTCTGTCTCTCCAGTTGTGGTAATACTATCCTTTTGGCTGGATTAATCTATCTTGCATAACACAAATAGATTACATACATTCAATTCAAAAATATTGTAGACCCCTCCTAAATTAATAGAATCGTAAAAAAAATGGAGAGCAAGAAGATACTAGTAACCATTTCAATATTAACATGAGATTTTTGGAAAAAAAAGGAAAAGTGATAAAGTGCCTCTGTCCTTTTGGCAATCTAGAAAATGAATTTTTATTTTTAGCTGGGCTTGGTAGCTCATGTCTGTAATCCTAGCATTTTGGGATGCCGAGGCAGGTGGATCACTTGAGGCCAGGAATTTGAGACCAGGCTAGCCAACATGGCAAAACACCATCTCTGCCAAAAATACGAACAGGCATTGTGGCATGCACCTGTAATCCCAGCTACTCAGGAGGCTGAGGCACAAGAATTCCTTGAACCCAGGAGGTGGAGCTTGCTGTGAGGCAAGATAGTGCCACTGCACTCCGGCCTAGGCGGCAGAGCGAGACTCTCTCAAAAAAAAAGTTTTATTTTTAACTGACATATAATAATTGTCCATATTCATGGGATACAAAAATATAGTGTATGATTATCTAATTAGACTAATAAGCATATCCTTCACTTAAATATTTATTATTGCTTTGTGATAAGAACATTCAAAATTCTCTCTTTTAATCATTTTGATATACTAAATATATTATTGTTATCTATAGCTATCCTACAGTGCAATGGGACAGGAAAGGTTTTAAAATTATTCCTGTAGAACAAGAAGCAAAGTGTTTAAATTCAGAATCCATAGATCTTTAGTATCTTGCTCTGTGTAGAGTAAAATATTCTGTACTTGTCAAACAAATAATACTAAGTATAACTTACAGAGAATTGGTGTTGTGTTGAATACTGTGTGACGCAGTTCAGTTTTATGATCTAATTGAATTTTCACAATAACCCTTCAAAGTGAGTTTCATAATTTCTGTGGTAGTGATTACAGAACAGAGGCATGAAAAGTTATGTCCCCTTTCCAAACTTGCACAACTATTAGTTTTCCATTTTTCACACTTAGATTTTTATTCCAAAATTAATATTTATCTACATAAACATTTTTTGAGTGACTAATGAGTCCTGTTGAATAATAATAGTTTAATTTTTACTGTTGTCTAGTGTAGTCTTCCAACTATTAATTTTCCATTTTTCACACTTAGATTTTTATTCTAAAATTAATATTTATCTACATAAACCATGATTGACTAATTAATACTGTTGAATAATAATAGTCTAATTTGTACTGTTGTCTAGTGTAGGCAGTAAAGGTCGGGACTGCAGTTGGCTAGTTTATTAAAACATTTCCAATCTCTGAAAACCCTTTTTCCTTCTGCTCTTCCACAATAAAACATGTAAGAGGCATATTCACTTTCTTAGTCTCTCCTACAATTAAAGGTGACTTCGTTCTAGTCAATGACAGAGATTTTCTGGAGATTATTTGAGAAACATATTTTCTGCTGTAGGTACACGTATAGCTGGCACCAGACTTTTGCCATGCCTTCTGACCATGAATACTGACGTGATGCATGCAGCTGTGATAGCTATTCTATGGCCATATGGTAAAGGCAAAGAAAATCATAAGGATACTGTATCTGACATTAATGAACGGTTGAAAGAAGCAGCTGCATATATCTCCACATCCTTAAATCAAAGAAATTGAATTCCTGTTGATTAAATCTACTATTAATGAGGTAATCTGTTAATTGAGGCCAAAAATATTTCTAAGTAATATATGCAAGCTCTGAAAATTCCATGCCTCTTTGTAGAAAAGGGGTATAATATTTGTTGCAAAAATGAATTTGGAATTTTACACTTGATGAATATTAACTGAATGAATACCCTGTATCTAACACTGTTTCAGGAACCACAGGGTTTTTTTAAATAAGATATAGTCTATGTCTTCAGGATTCTTAGAACATATTAAGAATTGATTAAGATAAAGATAGAATGGCCTACACCATGGCTATTTTTTCCCCTCAATCTATTAACTTTAATTTTAATGAGAATCTTGTGTTTCCCTCTAGGTACAACTATTCCTGGCCCCAATTTTTTGTTCTCTGTAGTCATGAACTTGAAGTACCTCATACTACAGGTGGGGTGATGTTCCTGCTCCTTGATTCTGGTCTCCACCATTTGATTTGCTTTGAATGACCTATGTTTGTGGATATGATATAAGCAAAAGCTTAAAATGGTCTTCAACAACAAGGCTTGCTATTTTGAACCTTGGATATTATGTTATTAGCCCACTGGTCCCCAAAGGAGAATGAGACATTTGCATAACAGAGCTAGCCTAAAGAAAGAGGACCAACCCTGACAATATCAGCTGAATACTGTAGATGATGATTAATGTTTATGCTTATGCCATTAAGTTATGAAGTTAGACAATAAGACCTGACTTACACACTCATCCATTCTTTGTCCACATCATTCGAGTAGAACTGGTAATACTATAAGCTCTGGGTTTGGTAAACTTTATCTACACCAGTCAATATATTCAATTCTCATCACCTTAGTGATTAATTCATAAGTTGGCTTGTCAGCATACCCAAATCTTTCAAATTAATTCAGTGGTATTTTGTAATTATCAGGAAAAAATAGTCTTTCTTCCTAGCTCTAAGAATCGCACAAACTTGTAATTGCTGGAGATCACATATGGACAGTGCAGACCTGAAAATAAACACAACATTAAATACAACAGTCAAGAGATAGAGAGAAAAAAATTACATCTTAGTAACTAGGCTGCAATCCCTGAATCCAATTTCTTTTAGACATTTTATTACTTGAAGTTTACATATTTCCTTTACTGCTTAACTCGTTTTGGTTTAGGCTTATTTTGCTTGGTATAAATAAAAAGGGTCCCAGAACTTTCAAAGGTAATTATAGAAAAGTGCAAAATAATACCATAAAAGAGATAAGAAAGGGTTCCTAGGAGAGGCTGTGTAGTGGTTTGATACTCAAAGAAGATTTTAAATAAAAATGGAATTTTGATGAATGAGAAGTAGAAAAGCATATATCCTGTGAGAAAAAAAAATGGTTTTTGAAAGGAAGTATATGCTAGGGACAGTGAGCAATTCAGTTCGATCAAAGTAGACTTAAAATGGAGAAGTGGGAGACAAAGTTCTACAACATTTTAGAGCTGATTTGTTGAAAAACCTGAAAACCTAAATAAGGAGTTTGTGTCTAATATACACTGAAGAATTTTCACTAGAGGAATCATAGCATTAGCCCTTTTTAGAATGTATTCACTTGGTAGAATTTATTGGACAGAAAAAAAAATGAATGTAGGTAAAGAAAGCAATTGTAAGATCAGTATATATCATGTGCCCAGTCCTTCACAGTGTTGGAAATATACTAAAGACTTAATAAATATTTTTGGATATTACATTGAATAGGAGGCTTCTGTAACATTGTCAATGAAAAGTAGATTGATCTGAATCAAGACATAATGCAAATTCAAAAAGAGAAGATAAAATATTTAAATAAATTCATTAGCATTTGGTAGCAGAATGGATAGTAGGGCTACAGTGGAGGGTAACTGCAAATGTGACTTGAGAGGTTTCAACTTTGATCATAGAGAAAACAGAATTTCTGATGTTTGAAAAAAAAAAATTTGGTCAAAATGCTGTAAGTTTGCTCTAGTTTAACCCAAATAATTTTCTCCATACAAAAGCAGGTTTTTTTCATATTTATAATTTCTTGCAGACAAAAGTTAAAATTTTTCTGGTGCAGAAATACACCTCTTTTTTTTCTTTTTACATCAGTGAAAATAATGTCAACATAAGCAATCCATTTTGAGTTGTTCTAGTTGTAGTGATTGGGAATACAGTTCTTCAATGATACATGGAAACCATTTGAAATCCTTGGAAAATTTTAATTAAATGTTTCAGGAACAAACTCCCCTAAGCCACAGTGTCTTTCTGGTTGCCATGTTAGTTAACAAACACTTATTTTCCAAGCTGTACATTGTTATGCACTAAGACAAACCTTTTAGTTCCTATAGATGGCATACAGAGCATTTATGTATTTTATAATATTTCCCAATCCTGTAGACTGTGTTCCATTTTCTCTGGCTGACATTAAATAGTTATATTGCCTTAATATTCAGAATGAAAGCAACTATATTTAATGGCATTCATGCTTAAACATGCTTTTAAGTATTTGACACATTATACAACCTGATTTCTACCATGGTAGGAATACCTAAAACTTCCCTTCCAGACATAACAATTGTCTATTCTAGGTAGGCATAGTGTCAATATTTTGTGGTTTAACTCTAAAGATAATTTCACAGAGGACTATCAGGAATTATAATTGACGATCAGCTGGACATTCTATGCTGATTAGCCAAACATGGAAGGTCAATATAAAAAAGCATTGTATTTTTAGACCTTAGTCCTCCTCCTGAATTTTTTTTCTATTGCCATCTAAAAGGAAAGAATCAAGATTGGAAAGCCATAATGAGACAATAGAGTTCTTAAACCCTGCCTTAAGTGTGGTTTTTGGTTAATTTTCAGATGTCATGAAGGAAGCTATTGTATTACAGACAGTGATGGTACATATGATTCACTCAGAAACCAATTTGTCACGGGCCAAATATTACCTCAGTTTGAGGCAAAATAAAGTAAATGCGTAGAGTATTTGCAATGTTTATTATTTAATAACTAACACTATCATGCACACCTAGGAATAATTTTTGTGTGGAAGTGTGAGAGACATATAGATGATATAACCATAAGCATTCAGTCCCCACTACTAATTTAGATGAGACTCACTGTTTGTTTGTTTTTTTGTTTTGTTTTGTTTTGTTTTGAGACAGAGTCTTGCTCTGTCACCCAGGCTGGAGTGTAGTGGCGCGACCTCGGCTCACTGCAACCTCCACCTCCCAGATGCAAGCAATTCTCCTGCCTCAGCCTTCCGAGTAGCTGGGATCACAAGCACCTGCCACTACACCGAGCTAATTTTTGTATTTTTAGTAGAGATGGGGTTTTGCCAGGTTGACCAGACTGGTCTCGAACTCCTGACCTCAGATGATCCACCTGACTCAGAATCCCAAAGTGCTGGGATTACAGGCATGAGTCACCAACGCCTGGCCAGAAACTCACTGTTAATAGCAGTATTTGTAATGCTAACAACCAAAATGCACACGTTTACCAGTCTAGGTTCACTGTAACCAGATAGTGGTAGAGAATCTATTCTTGAGGCAAAGTTTGACACATGAAGATCAGTTCTATCTGAGATCCATAAAAATAGTGCTATTTACCTCAATTTTTTATTTCATTTGCAGACATATGCCTACTTAAATGTGTTTAATGATATTAAATTACATACTACTTAATTATATGTCTAAACTATCATGCATAATTTTTAAAACAGATTTTTAAACAAATGCTTCAGCAATATTTTAGATTATTCTGGCTTGTAGGTATATTTTATTAGAACTGCCTCATAAGCACTATTGTGTTAACAATGTTATCATTATAGAAATATTAGCACAGTAAAATACATGTATAGATTCATTATATTTCTGAACAGAAGAGTAGCTACACAGAGATTGGTGAAACTCATTGAACCTAGAAAAGACTTTCCTAAATATTACTGTTGAGGGAAGAAGTGCCCCTACAATTGAATGAATAACAGAAAGCCCTGTAACCAGAGGTATGGAACAATTCAATAAATTTAAAAAAAATATTTAAACATCCATAGTCAAGCTTAATGTAACTGTAAAGTATGCTATAGTAGCTATGTAACTGTAGCCTGTAACTATGAACTATGCTATGATGACTCCATGTAGGACTGATTACAGAAACACCTCCATCTATTCCTCAGTCTTCCAAAGCTCACTCCCACATTGAATGATGTAGCCCTGTAGTCTTTGACTTGCAATCCAATCTTCATCCCGTGATTCTCAGCCAGGGTATGCTCTAATATTATCATATGAACTTTATACACATGCAGATTCAGAACTCCACTGTTAACCTACTTAATTTGAATATCTAGAAATGGGTTTAAGCTCTCGTAATTGAAAATTTCACTGGTGATTCTAATGTACACCCCAAATTAGGAATCATTAACTAAATCAAAATATGGTATTATACTTGAATCCTTGAAAATATAATACTATCTTTTCATTCTAACTTATTTTTATGTTTTATAAATTGTGGCAAAATAAATATAAAATTTACTATCGTAACCATTTTTAAGTATACAGCTTAGTAGTATTAATTACATTAGCATTGTTTTACAATTATCACCACCATATATCTCCAGAACTCTTTTCATCTTATAAAACAGAAACTCTATATTCATTAAAAAATAACTCCTCAATCCCTCTCCCCTAGTCCCTGGAAATCACCATTCTACTTTTCATCTTTATGATTTTGCTGTTCTAAGTACCTCAAATAAGTGGAATCATACACTTCCTTTTTGTGTCTGGCTTATTTCATTTACAATAGTGTCTGCAATGTTCATCCATTGAAGCATTTTCTTTGTTTTTAAGGTAAGATAATATTCTGCTGTATGTATGTACTGTATTTTGCTTATCCACTCATCCATCAGTTGACACTTGCACTGCTTCCACATTTTAGCTATTAAGAATACTGCTGCTATGAATATGGATGTCCAAAGATCTCATGAGACACTGCTTTCCATGCTATCAAGTATGTACTCAAAAACTGAATTTCAGGATCTTATTATAATTCTATTTATTTCGTAATTGCCATACTATTTTTATAGCAACTGCATTATTTTATATTCCCAACAACTCATAAGGTTTTCATTTCTCCACATTCTTGCCAACACTGGTCAATTTTTGCTTTATGTATTTGTTGCTCTGTTATTAGGTACCTAAATGTTTATAATTGTTACAACGTCTTGCTGAATTAAACATGTATTAATAAATAATCCTCTTTGCATTTTCTAACCCTTTGTAAAATTTAAAATCTATTTTCACTGACTTTAGTATATCCATAACTATCCTCTTTTGGTTACTACTTGTGTGAAATATTATTTCTGTCTTTCCGCTTTCAATCTATTTGTCTTTTTGGATCCAAAGTGAATTTACTGTGAACAGAATATAACTAGATTGTGCTTATAAAGTCAATTTTGCCCATCTCTGTCTCTTTTTCCAGGGGTGGGGAGTGTCAGGGTTTACTCTGTGACCCAGGCCAGAGTCTAATGGCATGATTTCAACTCATTGCAACTTCCACCTCCTGGGCTCAAGCAGTCCTCCCACCTCAGCCTCCTGAGCAGTTGAGACTATAAGCATGTGCCACCATGCACAGATAATTGTATTATTATTATTATTATTATTATTATTATTATTATTATTGTAGATATGGGGTATTTCTATGTTGCTCAGGTTGGTCTCAAACTCTTAGGCTCAAATGATTCACCTGCCTCAGTCTCCCAAACTATCTGTATCTTTTGATTGGAGAGTTTGATCGCTCTACATTTAAAATAATTACTAACAGAGAGAGACGTTTTTATTGCTATTTGTTTTCCATATGTATTTTACCCTTTCCTCCTTCATTTCCTGCATTACTGTCTTCTTTTTTGTTTCATTAAGCTTTTGTAGTGAAACATTTAAATTCCTTTTTCATTTCTTTTCTGTATATTTTAAAGATATTTTTGCTATGTTTACCATGGGCATTACATTTAACATCCTAAAGTTGTAACATTTAAATTTAGTTATATCAGCTTAACTTCAATAACATAAAAAACTGCTGCTTTAATAACTTTAATTTGTTGATGTCACAAAATTACCTCTTTAAGCATTGTGAATTCAAACCCACGAACTAAAAATTTTAATGTATTAGTCTCTTAAACTATGAAGAAAACAAAATGGGGAGTTACAATCCAATGTTACAATGATATTAGCTTTAGGGATACTATAAAATGTGTTAGTCTCTTAAATCATGTAGAGAACAAGAAGTGGAATTATACACTATTATTACAGTAATAGTAGCTTTTTTAGTGGCTCATATATTTTCTTCTACTAAGGTCTTTATTTTTTCATAAGTACGCTTTCATTTCAATGTACATGACTACCTTCAGCATTTCTTGCAAGGCAGATCTAGTGGTGTTAAACTACCTTAGCTTTTATGTATCTGGGAATGTCTTAATTTCTCCCTCACTTTTGCAGGAGAGTTTTGCCAAATATACAATTCTTGACTGACAGCATTTTTTCTTTCTTTTATTGCATAGAATATATCAGCTTTCTTTCTTTTATTGCGTAGAATAGATCAGCTTACTGTCTGTGGCCTCCAAAGTTTTTAATGAGAAACCTGCTGATATTCTTATCAAGGATTATTTTTAATGTGATCCATTACTTCCCTTTCATTGCTTTGAAAATGCTCTTATTCTGTGCCATTGAACAGTTGATTATAATGTGTCTTGGTGTGCATCTCTTTGAATACATTCTATTAGGACATTATTGAGCTACTTGCATGTTTATACTTATGTCTTTCATCAAATTTGGGAAGTTTCAGACTTCATTTTTTCAAATATTCTCTCCACCCCGTTTTTTTCTTTTCTGTCTTCTCGAACTCATAGAATGCATATTTTGGCCCACTTGATGGTGTCCTTCAGGACCTTTAGGTTCTATTAACTTCTCTTCTATCTTTTTTGTTTTTCTCTCTTATACTCACTTATTCCCATTGCATTATCTTCAATTTCTTTTATATTTTCTTCTGCCTGCTCAAATCTGCTTTTGAATCCCTCTAGTGATTTTTTCTTTATTATATTTTTAATCCCAAGAGTTTCTTTTTGCTTTATTTTTAGGTTTTCTGTATCTAAACATCTAAGAGAATGATGTTTCCAGTTTCTTCATACATTATTTCTTTTTTGATGTTCTTCACATTTTCTTTAGTTCTTTGTGCAAAACAGTTGCTTTAAAGTCTTTGTCTAGTACATCCACCATCTTCTTCAGCAACAGTCTCTGTTGGTACATATATATATATTTTTTTTCTTTGAATGGGCTATAAATTTCTATTTTTTTTGAATGCCTTGTGATTTTGTTGAAAACAGAACATTTGAATCTAATAACTTGTCAACTCTGAAAGTCAGATTTGTTTTCCCTTTTCCTAGGGCTTGCTGGGATTTTTGTTAGTTTGTTTCTGATTTTTAAAAAATCATTTTCTCTGTGCCAATGATCACCCTGGGATGTAAACAGAAGCTTCTCTCAGATCTTTCCTGAGCCTGCACCTGGGCATTCACAGTGACTTTCTGATTTCCTCCATGCATGTGGTTTCTTCTGAATATAGTAGTCCTCATTGTTTTGTTTTAAAAGAGGAGAAAGAGAAATATGAAGGTGGAAAAGTAAAGGTGTCGATTTTTTAAATTTTCTAAAGGTCACTTTAGCTAAGAGAGAGACAATAACTGGGGGAGGTACAACAACAATGGTGCTCACTTTTTGTCTGTGCCTCTGTTGTCAGAAGCAGTAATCAGTGATCAGAGAACAGATTTTCAATATTTGGAATCCTGGCTTTCTAAAACTATGTGCAAGTTGCTCCTGGAAAAGATGTGTAGGTGCCTGTCACAGGGCTAGGGTGTGAACATGGGTAGCTGCTGCAGTGCCCAGAGCCAAAATTGACCCTCCAAGCCTTCCCCTGGAAGTTGCAAGCTTTCAATAAACTTCGTAGTTCCAAAACAGTTGCATCAGACAGATTCTGACAGTACAATTTTTGGCCAGATGGAAAGATATATTTCTAATACTTTCTATTCTTCCATCTTCCCAGAATCTCCACCTTAATTTATTTTTTTAGGATGAAGTCCTTCTTAACTAAATTATCAATCTGGAGCTTAAATCAATTTGTCATCAAAAATTCTTCTAGATTGCCTTTCTCAACTGTCAATGAGTTCTCTCTATCTCATTTGCATTTACTCTTAAAATAAGAAATTAATTCTAATTTTCTAGTCTCCAAATCAGTACAAAGCTCTGTCTTAGACATATATCGAATACATATATATATATAAATAATTAATATGTGTCATAAAATAACCTAACTCAGGTACACTCAGTGACAAACTAATTTATGCTACCTGAGTATGGAATGAAATGACCTGCTTAGTTGTCTATTCAAGCTAATCTATTAGTTCTGAATAAATAGTTTAAATTAACTTTAGGTCTTGCTCTGTCAACCAGGCTGGAATGCAGTGGCATGATCATAGCTCACTGCAGCCTCATACCCCTGGGCTGAAGTGATCTTCTCACCTCAGCCTCTCTATTAGCTGGGACTACAAGTGCTTGCCAAGTATTTTTTCTTCAATTTTTGTAGAAATGGGGACTTGCTTTGTTGGCCAGAATAATCTCAAGCTCCTGGCCTTGAGAAATCCTCCCACGTCAGCCTCCTGAGTCATAAGGATCACAGGTGTGAGCACTGCACCCATTTAAAAAATTTTCTTTTATAAAACAGTTAACTTCCTCAGGGTACAAGAAAATAAATTACTCTGAACATAATTTATCTTCACACTTGAATTTTTTAAAACGTCTACAGTTATTCTCCTGAAAGTCTTATTAAGTAATTTATTTTTAAAAAGAAACCTTAACAAGGTTTATGAACAGATATTATGAAAGATTGTAGTACAGTGTCATAAAAGTCAACTTTTGATGTAATATTGCTGAACATTTAAAAAATATTTTGCCTCTGAAAGTCTTCCATGTAGAAAAGCATTTTATTCAATTTAAATTGTTTCCAAAATGCTTTTTTTCTCAAGTATTTTAGCCATTAAATGCAATAATGATTTGTCTATATTTTGCCACAGTGAACATTTTCATGTCTCAGAAGTCCAATTAGAATTATATTTCTTAGAAAAAACCCATCATATTAAATGGCTTAGAAACTAATTGGTTTACAGGTGAATGATGGAGTTAAAGTACCCCTTTAAGAGAAATACAGAGATAAGCAAAAATTTAATTAACATTAGAACAGATTAATTACAAATTTGTAAATATATGAATGTGCACATATGCATATTTGTGTGTGTATGTGTATACGTCTTAGTCCATTTTGTGCTGCTCTAATAGAATGTCTGAAACTGAGTAATTTATAAAGAAATGAAATTTCTTTCCTTAGAATTCCGGACAGTAAGAAATCTAAGGTCAACACGCTGTCATCTGATGAGGGAATTCTTGTGTCATAATATCGTGGAAGGTATCACATGGTCAGAGGGAGAAGAAAAGGAGAGGGAGAAGGAGAGAGACAAAGGGTGCCAAACTCATCCTTTTCTAAAAAAAAAAAATTCACTTGCACAATAATGATGATAATGAGGGCAGAGTCCTCACAACCTAATCACCTCTCATTAGTCCCCGCTTCCCAACACCATTGCATTTATGATTAAATTTCCAACACATGTTTTTTTGGGGATACATTCAAACCACAGCAATGTGTATAGGCATGTATACACATATATATATATATAAAAAATATATATATAAATTATATATATATACACACACATACACAAACACACATATATATTATGGCAATAAATAGATAACTGCACATTCATAAATGTTTACTATATCAATATTGTGTTATACTATGTTTATACATAAATAGCATGTATAGCAATGTCCTATATATGTGTGTATATAACTATACCTATAATTATTTCTGTAAATGGATGTTATATATTTTTTCTAGATTCAGAAACAACTCACAATGTTGCTGAATCTAGAAAACCATCTTAAAAGTTTTCTATTTGGCTCATATCTGACAAGAACTGTAAGGGTGATTTACTGGATTATTCAAGTTCGAAAGAATAATCACTATTTCTTAGGATGTACTTTTTCTGAAATAGTCTTTCCCAGTTTAGGAACCAGAAACCAACATTGGTAATAATGGAAGGTATGATTTTGCCATCTCAATAATGTGGAAATTTGAACAAAGATCAGCAGTTTCTTTGTAAAAGTTTTCTGAGATATCTATTTTAAGAAATAAAAACTATGGCAATGCCTTTTCACCCAAATATGGTAAATACTGCAATAAAATTAATGTTTATATTGCTTTCTGTCTCAAAGTAAGTGATTGATGAAAAATAAAAATTTGTTTTGAAAACACAGTTAAAGAGAAACATGCTGAAATGTATAATCCTCCTCTACTGTACTGCTCAGAGTAGAAATAGGCATCTCCTAGGATTGGTTCTACAAAAAAAGTTTGGGAAATGCTGTAATAAATTCTTTTTAGTATTTATTTTGTCTCGGTTTAGTGTATTGTAAATTTCATACAGACAGATTAACTTTAACTAAACTCCTAAATGAACCAATAATCAAAAGAAGAAAAAAGATGTTCTGTTTAGGTGTAAAATAATGGGCTATGTTACATCTACTTTAAGTGATTTTATTTACTACTTTAAAACAAATTTTGCCTTTGTATGCTCCTAATAAAAGTGCATAGTAAAGTCAGAAGGAGGATACTTAGTCTTTAGACAGAAGTCAAAGCGAAGTTAAAAATAAATACATAGCTTGTCAACTAAAATATCCAAAGGTATAGTTTGCACATTCACTCACAGAGATAAAATAATGTTTGAAGAATGTTAAATGCTGACTAAATACAGATGTGTGTCAGAAGACACTTGGCATAGGAACAGAACCAATCCCCATGACTAACATAGAAAAAGAAAGAAGATTGGCAACAAACTTGAGAACTCTAAATAGGAGAACAGCTGTTAAAAGACCAAATGATTTTTGTCATCTAAGTTGGTCTTTGAAAAGTTATTTGTTTTAATTAAGAGCAATATTATGTAATGACAATATTACTAGTTCTTCCATGAATAATGAAATCATATTTTTACTCATTTATTTGTTTGATTATTCACTCAATAAATTCTTACCGAGTACCAAAATATGCCAATCACTATGTTAAGTGCACCAGAAACAAAATTGAATAAAAACTAGTTTTTATTCATAAGGAGTAAAGGGCACTTAAGCAGAAAATTATGATGCTTTGTTAAAATACAGGGATACAAAAATATGTGAGCAATTATGGAATTAGTCAATGTATGATGTGAGTGTGTATTTTTTTAAAATATACTGGAGGAAGTAAACTGAATTTCTCTAAGCCAAGGAAGAAGAGATGGGCACTTCATTACAACTGAGCCCTAATAACACACACACATAAGAGTAGGAATATAGATGATGAAGGACTTCAAAAAGTCTGTGGTTATTGGAATATAGAAGGTAAACTAAAGCAGTAACTTAAAGAAAAACTAACAAAAAAAAGGACATTGTTCAGATGTAGAATTTCTTTTGCATGTGAGTTTATTATAGAGATTTAAATAGCCTAACATTCATTTTAATTAGAACCATATACAAAGAATATATTTGAAGTGGACCAGATTGGAGGCAGGAGGCTTATCATAAAGCTTTTCTTTATTCCAGAAAGACATAACGAAGCCTGAAATAGGGCAGCAGCGCCAACATCAGCAGCAGCAGCAGTGGTAGTAGTAGCAGTAGTAGTGGTAGTGATGGTGGTAGTAGTAGGTATTGGCGGAAATCAGACTAGGAAATATTTGGGAGATAAAAAAGCTGTGCAATGAAATAAATGCAATCCAAATCAAAATCCAAGTAAACTATTTTATCAATATTGACAAACTAATTCTAAAGTTTATATGGAAAGGCGAGAAGCCCAGAATAATCAACACTTAAGAACAAAGTTGGGAGACTGACACTACTACCTGATTCAAGATTAACTATAAAGCTACAATCATCACAGCAGGGTGGCAGTGGTGAAAGAATATTCACATAGATCAATGAAACAGAACAGAGAACCCAGAAATAGACCCACATGAATATACTCAACTGATCTTTCACAAAGAAATGAACAAAGGTAATTCAATGGAGAATGAATAGTGTTTTCAACACATGGTGCTTCAACAATCAGACTCTCTATATTAAAAAAAAAAGAATGTAGATATAGACTTTATACCTGTTACAAAAATTAACCCAAAATGTCTCACAAAGCTAAATATAAAAGTATTGGAAGGGCAAACATCAAAAACGTGGCAATTCTGAGTGCTGGTGAGGATGTAGTGTAACAGGAACTAGCCTTTATTGCTGGTGAAAATGTAAAATTATGTAGACACTTTGGAAGACAATTTGGCATTTCTTACAAAGCTAAGCATAGCCTTGTCGTATAATCCAGCAACCACTTCCCTAGGTGTGTATCCTATTTAGTTGAAAACATATGTTCACACAATAACTTGCGCACTGATGTTTATATCAGTTTATTTATGTTCTGCAAAAGCTGGGTAAACCCAGGTATCCTTCATAGGTGAATGGATGAGTAGTGTGTAATGGTTAATTTTGTGTGCCAACTTGGCTAGGCCATAGTATACAGATATTTGATCAAACATTATTCTAGATATTTCTGTGAAGATATTCTTAGATGATATTTATATTTAAATAATTAGATTTTGAGTGCAGAGATTATGTCTTATAATATAGATGAGCATTGTGTAATTATTTGAAGACCTTAATAAAAAAAGATTCACCTCCCTGGAGGAAGAGGAATTCTGCCAGCAGAAGGCCTTTGAATTCGAACTGCAATTCTCTCCTGGGTGTCCATCCTGCCAACTCACTTGCAAATTTTGAACTTGTCAGTCTACACAACTGTATCAGCTAATCTTTACAAACTTGTCTCTCTGTCATATATATATATATATTTTTATATAAGTTTTTATGTATGTTTTTATATAAGTTCTTATATAAGTTCTTATATATGTTTTTATATAAGTGTGTTGTATCTATATGTATCTCATACACACACAATCTCTCTCTTCAGAGTATATCTCTACACACAGACACACACATAGCTGTCCTAAAAATACAATATATTAATTTAAAAAAAGTTATATGAAGAATTGAAGTGTTATGAAAAATGAAAGATGGAAGCAAAAACATAAATTTTCTAGCTACCACCTTTCAAGATGGAGAATCTAGGAATATAAGAATAATATTAGGTTGATGTAAAAGTAATTGCGGTTTTTGCCAACCTAATATTATGTTAGGGGCAAAGATAAGTGAGTGGATTTTCAGCATGTTAAACTTGAGTTGCCTGTTAGATATAATAATAGAGACTCTAATAAA
This sequence comes from Homo sapiens, assembly GCF_000001405.40. NCBI lineage: Eukaryota > Metazoa > Chordata > Mammalia > Primates > Hominidae > Homo > Homo sapiens. The sequence goes on from NC_000011.10 coordinate 37,772,860, forward strand.
CTATAAGATTAACCATGATTAAAAATCCAATGAATGATATAAAATAATAACTTAGACTTGAGAATTGTGAACATGTAAATGCTATTTAAAACAAAAACCTTCTAATTAGCTGTATTAGTATCTTTTCATGCTGCTGATAAAAACATACCCGAAACTGGGATGAAAAGAAGTTTATTTGGACTGACAGTTCATATTGCTGGGGAGGCTTCAGAATCATGGAGAGAGGTGAAAGGCACTTCTTACATCATGGCGGCAAGAGAAAAGTGAGGAAGAAGCAAAGGCGGAAACTCCTGATAAGCCCATCAGATCTCATGAGACTTATTCACTATCATAATAACAGCATGGGAAAGACTGGCCCCCAAGATTTCATTACCTCCCACTGGGTCACTACCACAACACATGGGAATTCTGGGAGATAAAATTGAGATTTGGGTGGGGACACAGCCAAACCATATCATTCTGCCCCTGGCCCCTCCTAAATCTCATGTCCTCACATTTCAAAACCAATCATGCCCTCCCAACAGTCTCCCAATGTCTTAACTCATTTCAGCATTAACCCAAAAGTCCACATTCCAACATCTGATCTAAGACAAGACAACTCTCTTCCACCTATGAGCCTGTAAATTCAAAAGCAAGCTAGTTACTTCCTAGATACAATGAGGGTACAGCTATTGGGTAAATACAGCTGTTTCAAATGGGAGAAACTGGCCAAAACAAAGGGGTTACAGAGCCCATGAAGTTCAAACTCCAGTGGGGCAGTTAAATTTTAAAGCTCCCACATGGTCTTCTTTGACTCCAGGTCTCACATCCAGGTCATGCTGATGCAAAAGGTGGGTTCACATGGTCTTGGGCAGCTCTACCCTTATGGCTTTGCAGGATACAGCCTCCCTCCTGGCTGCTTTCACAGGCTGGCATTGAGGGTCTGCAGCTTTTCCAGGTGTACAGTGCAAGCTGCCAGTGGACCTACCATTCTGGGGTCTGGAGGCTGGTGGCCCTCTTCTCACAGCTCCACTAGGCAGTGCCCCAGCAGGGACTCTGTGTGGGAGCTCCGACCCCACATTTCTCTTCTGCACTGCCCTAGCAGAGGTTCTCCATGAGGGGCCTGCCCCTGCAGCAAACTTTTTCTGTGCATCCAGGCATTTCCATACATCTTCTGAACTCTAGACAGAAGTTACCAAACCTCAATTCTTGACTTCTCTGCGCCTGCAGGCTCAACAGCACGTGGGAGCTGCCAAAGCTTGGGGTTTCCACCTCTGAAGCCACAGCCCAAGCTCTATGTTGGCCCCTTTCAGCCATGGCTGGAGCAGCTGGGACACAAGGCACCAAGTCCCTAAGCCACACACTGTCAGGCTTCTGAGCCCAAGCTAAGCCATCATATCCCATGTGACCTGCACTTATATATCCAGATGGCCTGAAACAACTGAAGATCCACAAAAGAAGTGAAAATAGCCTTAACTGATGACATTCCACCATGATTAGTTCCTGCCCCACCCTAACTGATACGATATATTCTCCCCCTCGCCCTTAAGAAGGTACTTTGTAATATTCTCCCCACACTTAAGAAGGTACTTTGTAATATTTTCCCCACACTTAAGAATGTACTTTGTACACCTATCCCAAACCTATGAGAACTAATGATAATCCCACCACCCTTTGCTGACTCCGTTTTTGGACTCAGCCCGCCTACACCCAGGTGAAATAAACAGCCTTGTTGCTTACACAAAGCCTGCTTCGTGGTCGCTTCACACAGATGCGCGTGACATACACAACACATGGACTCTGAGCCCGGCCCACGAAACTACTTTTTCCTCCTGGGCCTCCTAGCCTATGATGGGAGGGGCTGCTGACAAGGTCTCTGATGGCCTGGAGACATTTCCCCCATGGTCTGGGGAATTAACATTAGGCTCCTTGCTACTTATGCAAATTTCTGCAGCAGGCTTGATTTCTCCTAAAAAAAAAATGGGTTTTGCTCTTCTACTGCACCTTCACGCTGCAAATTTTCCAACCTTTTATGCTCTGCTTCCCTTATAAAACAGAATGTTTTTAACAGTACCCGAGTCACCTTTGAATGCTTTGCTGCTTAGAAATTTCTTTCACCAGATAACCTAAATCATCTCTTTCAAGTTCAAAGTTCCACAAAGCTCTTGGGAAGGGACAAAATGCTGCTAGTCTCTTTGCTAAAACATATCGAGAGTCACCTTTGCTCCAGTTCCCAACAAGTTCCTCATCTCCAACTAAGACCACCTCAGCCTAGACCTTATTGTTCATACCACTATCAGCATTTTTGTCAAAGCCATTCAGCAAGTGTCTAGGAGGTCCCAAACTTTCCCACATTTTCCTGTCTTCTTCTGAGCCCTCCAAACTGTTCCAACCTCTGCCTGTTACCCAGTTCCAAAGTCGCTTCCACATTTTCAGGTATCTTTTCAGCAATGCCCCATTCTATTGGAACCATTAGTCTGTTTTCATGCTGCTGATAAAGACATACCCGAGACTGGAAAGAAAAAGAGGTTTAATTGGACTTTCAGTTCCACATGGCTACAGAGGCCTCAGAATCATGATGAGAGGAGAAAGGCACTTCTTACATCATGGTGGCAAGAGAAAAATGAGGAAGAAGGAAAGGCAGAAACCCCTGATAAACCCATCAGATCTCATGAGACATATTCACTATCACAAGAATAGCATGGGAAAGAGCAGCCCCCATGATTCAATTACCGCCCACTGGGTTTCTTCTGCAACACGTGGGAATTCTGGGAAATACAATTCAAGTTGAGATTTGGATGTGGGCACAGCTAAACCATATCTCTAGCCATTTTGTTTCCACTCTTCCCTTGCCACTATCCAACTATCAAATAGCTGATTTCTGATTACTAGACAGAACACATAAATAGATCTATTTTAAAAATGTGAGTGGCATGAAAATGTAAGTCATTTTTCTACCCAGAATGTTTCTAGATTTTTTCATTATACTCAGAGTAACATTCAAAATTATCCTTGCCTTTGTATTACAGGTTGCCATCTCTCTCCAATATTTCCCTACTTCTTTTTATATTAATAGAACTTTTAGCTTATGACATAGACATGCAGCTAAAAACTACATTTCTTAATTCTCTTGGACTTAATTTTGGTTATGTAATGGGGTTCTTACATAAAGAACACTAATATAAATGATGTGTTTAACCTTTCAGTCATTCATTCCAAGTAAAAGACATTTGCTTTCACTTTCTTTTTTCTTTCTTATCACTAGATATATCACAGATGTGTGACCAATAACCACCTGGATGCAGTTTTGGAAGCACTGAGTTTAGTACAAAACGAAAAGATGAAATGAGCTAGTAGGCTGCATCAGGACTAGCACATTGTTTCTGGAGAGCTTTAACTTAGACTGCCAAATGAGACACAAGTTACTTCTATTGTGTTCAAAGCTACTGTTAAAATTTGTTTTTTGTTACAGCAGCTGGAACATCCATTTTAACTTATGCAGCCTACAAAGCCTTCATGATCTTCATGTCTCCACCTCTCTGAACTCAACTCATGCCATTCTCCTTCTTGCTCACTCCACCTCAGCCATATTGGTATCCTTGATATTTCCAAGATACACCAAGCATACTTCAAACACAGAGGCTTTTCAAAGTGCTCTGACATTTTTTTTTCTGAAATGTTCTTCTCTTAGAAAATGTCTTCTTCATTTTACCCAGTTTATTGTTGAAGTGTATCTTAATACATGGCACTCTTTATCACTCTCATTCCACCAATTTGCTTTATTCTTCTGTATTAGAATTATCACCACTAAGAAACTATGTTGGACTATTTATTTGTGTATTGTCTATATATAATAACAAGAATCTTAGACCATGAGTTTAAATCTTCATTCTATAAGCAGTATCTGGAATATTCCCTGGGATAGTGAGAATGCCAGAGATTTGTTGAATGAAGGACTGAATGAATACATGAATAAAATTATGGAAGAATATGATGTCACTGAGAGAGGTTGTGTAGAGTGAGAAGCGCCGAAAGCTGAAATCAGTTTGGTTACCTCTAAGGGAAAGAAAACTGAGAGGTCTCTCAAAGGGGACCTGAAGGGGAAGTCCAAGACAAAAAGTGGTAATCAAGAGAGGGTGGCGTCTTGAGAATCAAGGATATCAGAGCTCCTCGGAGAAACATCTGTGAAATGTAGCAGAGAGATTCAGAAAGATATCGGCTCCAAAATGGTCAATTGATTATGCAAACCAACAGGCCATTACTGAGTTTGAGGACAATAGTTACACTACAGCAGTAAAAGCAGAGGGCATTTTGCAATGGTTTGAGGACTCAGCAAAGCTGAATGTTTTCTCACAAATATAAGGTACTTCCTTGAGAAGTTAAAAAAAAGAAAGAGAACAAGAAAAGCAAAGACTAATGAAACAATTACCTATAAGAAGGACAGAGGATAATGTCAAAGTAACATTTGTTAGTCCCATGTTGAAAGAAAGAGCAAGAACTCTGCTGAGACTGACAGAAAATAAATGAAGGGATGAGGTAGTGTGAATGTATCTTGGCAAGCGGGGAAGTCAGGAGAGAAGTCAAGCTTGAAAAAGAGTAATTATTAATAAGACATGGATTGGAGGAAAAGTTCAAAGGAATAAAAAAAAATTTCCAAGAGCTGTAGAGGAAAATGTGTGAAATATTTGGTGAGAATAAATCAAGGTCTGTGGTCAGCACAGGGACTCACATGAAATTAGAATCACTACTTTTACTTGGTTTTCTAAAGGCAAGATGCTGGTGTTCCCAGATTAGGATCAGATATACTGAAATATAATAGCATTCTAGTAAGTGTTACCTTAAAACCTAAATTCCACTTCCCTGCTCTTCTCCTAGTTATATTCATTGGGAAAAATACTTAACTCTCTGATTTCTGGTGTGTTGTCCTCTAAAATAAATATATAAATACTTGTCCTGCCTAATTCAGAAGAATATTATATAATTTATTTTACATTTTTAATATTTTTAGTTGTAAAATTGGATGCATTATTAAGAGGCTTGGCTCTCCCAATCTTAAGCCATCATTCTATATGTTCTATAGATGTTTTGAAATGCCCAGAAGCTCTGAATATTGATTAAGCTTACTCTCTTAAGAAAGCATAACATAGTGAAGAGTAACCATCATAAAACTGACCACTTTTATCTATACTACATCATAATTTTTTTAAAAGACATTTGTGTTTTACACAGTTCTCTGGTATAAAAGCAATGATGTATCCTTTACATTCAACAAAACTGGGTTTAAATCTAACTGTGCCAAATACAAATGGCATGATGTTGAGGCAATTTATTTAATCATACCGAGTTTCCTGCATGAAATATGTTATCTCAATCAGTGCTTTGCTCATAGACCATCTGAATAAATGAAGGCAACATTATATGGTGGTGGATGTATAGTACCTAAAGTCTGTAGTTTGAATGTAAGGTCTCACACTTTTTAACTCTTAAGAATCCAGACCTGTTATTTAACCTCTCTCTAAACCGAACTTCCCTCATTTATACAAGAATTGTACTACTTCATTTGGTTGTTGTAAGATTTCATAAGTAGTGCATATAAAGCATCAAGCACTAGCTTAGTGCTGAACATAGAGGATGCTTAATAAATGTCACCTGTTATTATTACTGTAATAATTAATATAATTATTAATGAAGGCCTTAAAGACAAACTTTCTTTTTCACACATGCAAAGCCCAACTTGATAGCCTTATTGCAATAATATAGTATAGAATTGCTTGTGTAAACTTAAAAATCTAGAGTCTTCCTTCCCACCCCATAAAATTCTGTAATGGTAATTCAGAATAATCAGTGTTTATGCATCTCTTACTATGAGCTAGAGCTCTCCCACTTCACCTTGTTGGGAGTGGATGGAGGAAAAAACAGATGGAATGTACTGTTTTAAGCTCTCAAGCACTTTGGAGGTTTAAAAGTGGGAAGCTATATTAGTGCTCTGATTCATTTCATTCACATTATTTTATCTTGTATTAACTTTACTGCACCATCATCACCCTGAGTCTATGGTCCACTCATCTAGTAAACAGATATTAAGAAGCTAATTAAGTGACCATCTCAATGATGTCCAAGACCAGCTTCATTATCTTAATTAGGGTTTGAATTATCAATTAACTGCACTACTTATAGTTTTAGAAGCATTGTGCATTGCAACATGTCAAAATTTAATTACAGCACAGGCTATTAAAAGCACTTAGAAGGATGCTTTGTGGTTAAATAATAATAAAATACTTTGAAATGTAACTATAATAAACCCCTTAGCATTAATTTTTAACAGTGCCAAAGCAGCAGAATTGCTGAGATTTGGGTAGGATGGTCACATTGATGCAAAATAGTCTCAGGAGTCTTTTGTAGTAATTCCTTTCCTCAAATTCCTTTGGCACTGTTGGATTGCTTCTGATGATAAAGTCATGAAAAGAACGTGTAGAAGAAAGCCATATTCTCCACATAGAGATATGAGTTATTATTATACCTCAAATACACATAAAAGCTATACTATGAAAAATGTAATTTATCTTTAAAGAATCTTCTAGAAAATAAAAAAAAACTCTGCATTGCAGAAAAATAGATATTCTATACTTTCCCCTGTATATGAGGCTGTGAAGTAGGAACATGCTTGCTTTTTACAGTGGGATGATGTAAATGCTCAGTTTTGCATAAACTTGGAAGTAGTAAACTATCTCCTTAAGCCACCAAAGAATTGCCACTTACAGACAGAGATACAGACATAGACACAAATACATATTATACAGATATAGCTAACCCTGGGGAATGTCTCAGAATTCTGTGAAGGCCTGGCCTAGAAAAGAAGGCTTGAGGGAGTTCTTTGAAATTCAGTCCTCTTTGAGAAGCTCATGGGATAGGGGTTTGCATGTTGAATAGGGAATGAATAACTTGGTGACTGCCACAAAGCTAAGGGTGGCCTCAGCTATCCTATCAGTCTTTGTATCAAATGATAGACTTGTCAACATATATTTTGAAAAATATCTCCTTAGGTAACAAGTTTATAAGTTGTCAAATATTTAATAAAATTAAAATTGACTTGAAAAAACAACAAATATTTCATGAGGCTGCTCTTGTACTACAGCTAGCACAGAGCCATTTTCTATTATTTAAGATAATAAGCTAAACATGAAGAATTACCTCAAAATTCTCAGATTGGTTCTATTCAGTGTGCTAGGACTTGCCAGATAGTTTCTTCAGATATTGGGCTCCACTACTTGAAGGTATCATACATTAATTGCTGTATTATAATTTTTTAGGAAGTCTGAGACACTCAGGAATAAATAATTAGCTGAAATTATTATTGTAAACTCTCTGTTTATTGTACCTTTAAAACTACAGCTTCAGGTCACTGAAAAAATGTCTTGTTATATTTTTTATGAAAAGAGGCTAAGTTTCTGGTGTTTGCTCATTGTAAATAGCCAGCTCAACATTTGTGAGTGTTTCATGGTCCTCTTCATTTCTATCTATTTCTTCTTCCAATAATTAATTTGTCATCAGGCCGTGTTAATTACATTCTTAAAATGCTGTTTGATATTATTTTGTCCCTTCCTTCTTAGGTATATGTTTCCTAAACCAGATAAGATCTTTTACTTGTACTATTGTCTGTATCTTAATTTATTTATTTTTCACATGAATTCAGGTTATTTTATAAGATGTTGACCTCGGCACTTCCTTGTTTAAAAGTTCACTACAAAGCATCTTTTAAAAAATCATGGAAAATGTATATTATGAAAAAATTATGCATAGATTTCATTTTTTGCATCAAATAATTTGGTAGTAACTTATAGCATGCCTGAACAGGATCTAGTTTGAGGTACTAAGAAGGATAAGTCATCAGATTGAAAAGAACTCCTATCAGAGCAACATGAATTCTGCTAACATTAAAGCAGAAACAAACATCAAATCTATGGTGAAACTTAGGTGGAAGAATGGTGAAATTAATAATGCTTTATGAAAAGTTTATGGACACAATTTGCCCAATAAATTAGCAGTTTACAAATAGATAACTCATTTTAAGAAGGAAGAAGGCAATGTTAAAGGTGAAGCTCTCACTCCATCCAAGATGGCCAATTAGAAGTAGCTGTGGTCAGCAGCACTCATAGGAATGAAAAAGGGTAAGTGAATTCAGCACCTTCAACTAAAATATCCAGGTTCTCACATCGGGACTGACTAGGCAAACAACTCAAACAAAAGGAAATAAAGAAAAACAGGGAGTGTGGGCAACAGTCCACCCAGGATTGGGATGGAGCCAAAGGAAGCCCCACCCCCAGACAAGGGAAGCAGTGAGTGATTGTGCAGTCCTGTCCAGGAAACCATGCTTCTCCCATGGATCTTTGCAACTTACAGGTCAGGAGATCCCCTTGTGAGCCCATGCCACAAGGTCTGTGGGTCTGATAGCGCTGTGTGAAGTCCTGGCAAAGTGGATATTCAGGCACACACAAAGATCAAGGACTTTTACATACTCTGGTCCCAGGATCTCCAGCAAGTCAGGAAATTTATGTGTACCTATCCCTAGGAAGAGGGTGAATCCAGGGAGCAAAGCAGTGTTATTCTGTGGGCCCCATTTACAGGGCACCTCACAAGTTAATACCCACTGTCTTGGCAAACCAGATAGCCAATGGCAGCAGGTTGGAATCCACCTGAGGCAGGTTCAAGTTCCCAGGGTGAGAGGTGGTCTCCATCTCTGCAGTTTAGTTGCCTCAGCAGCTACCACCTGCCAGCTATGGAGAATACAGGTGGTCTAGATGAAGAAGGGTCCCCCCTGCACCAATGCAGCATACCTGCTCTACCAAAAAGCAGCCAGACTGCTTCTTTGCACAAGTACCTGATCTCATTCCTCCTGACTTGGTGGGACCTCCCAGTGAGGGTCTCCAGCTACCTCCTACAGGTGCATGTAGGCCGGCAACAGGTCAGTATCCCCCTTGGACAGAGGCTCCAGGGAAAAGAGCTGGCTGCCATCTTTGCTGTTTCTCAGCCTTCACTGGTGATATCTCCAGGTACAGGAGAAACTAAGGTAATTGGGACTGGAGTGGACCCCCTGGCAAATTACAACAGCCCTCCAGTAGAGTGGCCTGACTCTTAAAAGAGAAACAAACAAATGGAAAACAACCACAACAACATCAACAACAACAAGAAAAGAGCCCAAAAAAGCCTCATTCAAAGGTCAGCAACTTCAAAGATCAAAGGTAGATAATCCCACAAAGATGAGAAAAAATTAGCACAAAACACTGAAAACTCAAAAAGCCAGAGTGCCTCTTCCTTCCAAAGGACTGCATTATCTCTCCAGCAAGGGCACAGAACTGGGCTGAGGCTGAGATGGTTGAACTGACAGAAGGAGGCTTCAGAATGTGGGTTGTAATGAACTTCACTGAGCTGTAGGAGCACGTTGTAACTCAATGCAAAGAAGAAAAGAATCATGATAAAACAATACAGGAGCTGATAGACACACTAGTATCAATAGCAGAATAGAGTAAGCAGAGTTCTATTCTGCTTGATCTTTAAGAGACCTGTCTCATGGGCAAAGACACACATAGGCTCAAAATAAAGGAAAAGAGGAAAATTTGCCAAACAAATGAATAACAGGAAAAAGCAGGGGCTGCAGTCCTAGTTTCTGAAAAAAAACAGACTTCAAACCAACAAAGAAGAGAAAGGACAAAGAAGGGCATTATATAATGGTAAAGAGTTCAATTTAATAAGAAGAGCTAACTATTCTGAATGTAAACATCCCCAATACAGGAGTACCCAGATTCATAAAGCAAGTTCTTAGAGACCTACAAAGAGACTTAGACTCATACAAAATAACAGTGGGAGACTTTAACACCCCACTTACAATATTAGATCATTGAGACAGAAAATTAACAAGTATATTTAGGACCTGAACTCAGCTCTGGATCAAGTGAATGTGTTAGATATTTAAAGAACTCTGAGCCAAAATTCAACAGAATATACATTTGTCTCATCAAAACATGGCACTTACTCTAAAATTGATCATAGCAGAAGCAAAACACTCCTCAGCAAATGCAAAAGAACTGAAATCATAACAAACAGCCCCCATGACTACAGTGCAATCAAATTGGAACTCAAGATTAAGAAATTTACTCAAAGCTACACAACTCCATGGAAATTGAACAACCTACTCCTGAAAGACTATTGGGTAAATAATGAAATTAAGGCAGAAATCAAGTTCTGTGAAACTAATGAGGACAATGAAATATGTATCAGAATCTCTGGGATGCAGCTAAAGCAGTTTTAAGAGGGTTATGTATAGCACTAAATGACCATATCAAAAAGCTAGAAAGATCTCAAGTTAACAACCTAACAGCCCAACTAAAGGAACTAAAGAATCAAGAGAAAAAAAAAAAAAACTAGCAGAAGACAATAAATAACCAAGGTCAGAGCTGAACTGAAGAGAGAGAGACATGAAAAATCCTTCAAAAAAAATCAACCAATTTGGGAGCTGCTTTTTTGAAAAAATTAATAAAATAGACCACTAGCTAGACTAATAAAGAAGAGGAAGAATTAAATAAACACAATCAGAAATGATAAGGGGGATATCACCACTGACCCCACAGAAATAAAAACAACCCTCAGAGAATACTATGAACACCTCGATGCACATAAACTGGAAAATTTAGAAGAAATTTATAAATTCCTGGACATATACACCCTCCCAAAATTGAAACAGATGGAAATAGAATCTCTAAATAGATCAAACATGAGTTCTGAAATTGAGGCAGTCATAAGTATCCTACCAATAAATAAAAGGCCTGTACCAGATGGATTCACAGCTGAATTCTACCAGAGGCACCAAGAAGAGTTAGTACCATTTCTACTGAAACTATTCCAAAAAATTGAAAAAGAGGGATTCCTCCCTAACTCATAGTATGAGGCCAGCATCATCATGATATGAAAACCTGGCAGAGATACAAAAAATAAAGAAAACTTCAAACCAATATCCTTGATGAACATCAATGCAAAAATTCTCAATAAAATACTGGCAAATGGAATCCAGCAGCACATCAAAAAGCTTTCCACCACCATCAAGTTGGCTTCATCCCCAGAATGCAAGGTTGGTTCAACATATGCAAATCAATAAACGTGATTCATCACATAAACAGAACTAAAGACAAAAAACACGTGATTATTTAAATAGATGCAGAACAGGCCTTCAATAAAATTCAACATTCTTTCTTGTTAAAAACTCTCGATAAACTAGGTATTGAAAGAACATACCTCAAAATAATAAGAGCCATGTGTGACAAACCTACAGCCAATATCATACAGAATAGGCAAAAGCTGGAAGCATTCCCCTTAAAAACCAGCACTGGAAATAAGAATGCCCTGTCTCCCCACTCCTATTCTACATACTATTGAAAGTTCACATCAGGATAATCAGGCAAGAGAGAGAAGTAAAGAGTATTCACATAGGAAGAGAGGAAGTCAAATTATCTTTGCGGATAACATGATCTCATATCTTGAAAACTCTATCATCTCAGCCCAAAAGCTTCTTAAGCTGATAAGCAACTTCAGCAAAGTCTCAGGATATAAAATTAAGGTGGAAATATCAGTAGCATTCCTATACACCAACCACAGGGAGGCAAAGAGCCAAATCATAAATGAACTCCCATTCACAATTGCTACAAAAAGAATAAAATACCTAAGAATACAGCTAACAAGGGAAGTGAAGAACTTCTTCAAGGGGAACTACAAACCAGTGCTCAAAGAATCCAGAGAGGACAGAAACAAATGGAGAAATATTGAATGTTCATATATAAGAAAAATCAATATCATGAAAATGGCCACATTGCCCAAAGTAATGTATAGATTCCATGCCATTCACATTAAAATACCATTCTTCACAGAATTTGAAAAAAACTATTTTAAAAGTCATATGGAACCAGAAAAGAGCTCAGATATTTAAGACAATCCTAAGCACAAAGACAAAACTGGAAGCATCACTCTATCCAATTTCAAACTATACTACAAGCCTACAGTAATCAAAACAGCATGATACTGGTACAAAAACAAACACATAGACAAATGGAACAATGTAGAGAATTCAAAAATAAGACGACACACCTACAACCATCTGATGTTTGACAAAATTGACAAAAAAAAAAGCAATGGGGAAAAGACTCCTTATTTAATAAATGTTGCTGGGAGAACTGGCTTGCCATAGGCAGAAAATTGAAACTAGACCTCTTTCTTACACTTTATACAAAAACTAACACAAGATGGATTAAATGCTTAAATGTAAAACCCAAAACTATAAAAACCCTAGAAAAAAAATCTAGGCAATACTATTCAGGTCATAGGCACAGGCAAATATTTCATGACAAAAATTCCAAAAGCAATTGCAACAAAAGAAAAAAATTGACAAATTGGATGTAACCTAAAGAGCTTCTGCACAGCAAAATAAACTATCATCAGAGTGTACAGATAACCTACAGAATGGAAGATAATTTTGCAATCTATTCATATGACAAAGGTCTAACATCCAGGGTCTATAAGGGACTTAAATTTACAAAAACAAAAATTAGATGTGGTCATAGGACACGAACAGACACTTGTCTAAAGAAGGCATGCACATGGCCAAAAAACGTATTTTAGAAAGCTCAACATCATTGATCATTAGAGAAATGCAAATCAAAACCTCAATGAAATACCATTTCACACCAGTCAGAATGTTCATTATTAAAAAGTCACAAAACAACAGATGCTGGTGAGGTTGTGGAGGAAAAGGAATGCTTTTACACTATTGCTGGGAATTTATATTAGTTCAACCATTATGGACCACAGTGTGGCAGTTCCTCAAAGGCCTAGAAGCAGAAATACCATTTGACCTAGCAATCCCATTACTGGGTATATACTCAAAGGAATATCAATCATTCTATTATAAAGATACATGCATGCGTGTATTCATTGCAGCACTATTCACAATAGCAACAACATGTAATCAACGTAAATGCCCATTGATAATTGACTGAATAGAGAAAATATGGAATACTATACAGCCATAAAAGGAATGAGATCATGCCCTTTGCAGGGACATGAATGGAGTTGAAAGTCATTATCCTCAGCAACTAATGCAGGAACAGCAAACCAAACACTGCATGTTCTCACTTATAAGTGGGAGCTGAATGATGAGAACACATGGACACATGTAGGGAAACAACACCCACTGTGGCCTTTCTGGGTGGAGGTGGGGGTAGGGAGAGCATCAGGAAGAATAGCTAATGGATGCTGGGCTTAATACCTAGGGGGTGTAAGATGATCTATGCAGCAAACCACCGTGGCACACGTTTACCTAAGTAATAAACCTGCACATCCTGCACATGTACCCCTTAACTTCAAGTCAAAGGACAATATATATAATCTATATATATAGATAGATAGATAGATGAAGCTCTCAGTGGCTGACCATCTATGTTAATTTGTGAGAAAACAAAATAGCCTTGTATGTGCCCTAAGCAAGGAGGACTGATGAGTAACCACAGAAACAATGCCCAACATCATAGCCATCTTACTTGGCTCAATTACACATTTCTGACTAATGATTAAAGTTGAACAAACTTTCCATTTAATGGATGCCAAAACTGTTGCATTCAGATCAGCTGCAGACAAAAGCAGAGCTTTCAATAGAAAATTTAAACTAGTGGGATTATGACACTAAAACATTTCTTTGAAGAATTGTAATGGAAGGGGAAATATGAGTTTACTAGTACAATTCTGAAGACAAAGCACTGTCAAAGTAAGGGCTACCAAGAGATGGAAGTGGTCCAGTCAAAGCAAAAGTGAATAGGTCAAGAGCAAAGGTTATGTCAACAGCCTTATTGGGATCCTCAAGGCGTTTTGCTTGATTTCTTGGAGTGCCACACAATGGTAACATTTCCTTATTATGAGAGTGTTTGGAGAAACTTAGCAAAGCCTACCTGAAAAATGCCTGGGAAAGCTTCACCAGAGAGTCCTTCTTCATCACAGCAATGTTTCTGTTCATTCCTCTCATCAAACAAGGGCAATTTTTCAAGAGCTTTGGTGGAAAATCATTAGGCATCCACCTTACAGTCTTGATTTCACACTTTGTGATTTGTTTTTGTTTCCTAATCTTAAAAAGTCTGTGAAAGGCACCAACTCTTTGTTAATAATGTTAAACAACAAAACAAACAAACAAAAAACCTGCATTGGCATGATTAAATTCCCAGGACCCTCAGTTTTTTAGAAATAAACTAAATGGCTGGTAACATTGCTTACAAAATACTTAAGCTGCTGATAAACTAAATCAAGCTAATTTTGTTTCATGATCTAGATAATAATAGGCAAGTTAGTCAATTTCTCCATGTATCTCAATTTACCTATCTTGGGATTAGACATAGCATTATGC